>NW_003315970.2:0-116689 GCF_000001405.40 Homo sapiens | reverse complement strand
ACTGATAGTAAACCTTATTATTTAATAAAAAGCTGAGTTCACATTGGCTTCCCTTTCTTAAGAGCATCATAAATAATTTAATTCAGTATAGTTTTTTTAAAAAATCAGATCCCATAATCGTAGATTCCAAAGAACTATCCAGATTCTTTTTAAATTCAGAAATGTTGTGTGTGTGTATATAGACCTTTACCTAAAAATTTTTATTAGAGATTTTTGTTGTATTATTTGTGATAAGAGAGAATGTATTCTTTTTTTTTTTTTTTTTTTTTTCAATTTGAGTCGGAGTCTCACTCTGTCCACCAGGCTAGAGTGCAGTGGTACCATCTCGGCCCACTGCAACCTCCACCTCCCAGGTTTAAGTGATTCTCCTGCCTCAGCCTCCCGAGTAGCTGGGACTACAGGTGTGCGCCACCACGCCCAGCTAATTATTGTATTTTTAGTAGAGAATGGGTTTCACCATCTTGGCCAGGGTGGTCTCGATCTCCTGACCTCGTGATCCGCCCACCTCAGCCTCTCAAAGTGTTGGGATTACAGGCATGTAATCCAAAGTGTTGGGATTCTCACGCCCGGCCGAGAGAATGTATTCTTATAGCAGACCTAGGAAGTCTAAATTTTAAAAAGAATGAGAGGGAGAGGGTGTTGATCCGCCTTCCATTAACATAACTTTTCTTGAGGAGTGTATGCATTTTCTCTAAATATGTAGATAAGCCATCTAGTTTTGCATTGTACTTTGGGTGCATTTTGGTCATCACAAAGACTCAGCCAAACATTCACAAAAGGATGGTATACTGGCCTTTGCTGGAATTCAGCTACTAGCTCATCTGATCCATTAGGGAATGTCTAAGGGTCTAGTTAGTTAATGTAGCACAAAACCTCACTCATTTGTGAGTACTGGCCAAGTGTGTCAACAAAAAAATGTTCTTAATGTCTAAGGTACAAATGGATCCCCAAATAAAAAGTTCTCAGAGGCCAATTTATAGTTTTACCCTACATAAAATAGCAGAGCCTGATTATAATTTCCACATCTTTGAATATGTGCATACTTTTGTACTTTGTGTGAGAAGGTAGGAAAATCAAACAATTCGTGTCTATTTTTTTCAGATGCCCAGACCTGGAGGATCCCCAGGGTCTTCTCATGGTTGCAGCAGGAAGGACACCTCTCTGAGGAAGAGATGGCCAGAACATTTAACTGTGGGGTTGGCGCTGTCCTTGTGGTATCAAAGGAGCAGACAGAGCAGATTCTGAGGGATATCCAGCAGCACAAGGAAGAAGCCTGGGTGATTGGCAGTGTGGTTGCACGAGCTGAAGGTACTTGCTCCTTACTCATTTTTAGATATATAATTTTAGCTGTATAATTTTAGCTATACCTCAGCCTTGCCTCACAAGCTTTCTGCCCACCTTTTAGTGCAGCCATCGCTATGGCAACTATCTTTACACAGATGTAACATGACAGCACCCACCCCAGCGATACCACGTATCTCTTCATTTCTGCCTCAGAACTAAGCATTCATGCATGCACAGCCACACCCCACAGGATCGCTTCCCAAAGTAATCTCCCTACACACAAGACCTCATGGCTCTGCTGTCACTCAGCTCGATTCAAGGAATAGCGAGCAAGCACCCTGACAAGTACTGTATCAGTCAGGACTCTGCGAGAAGTGCTAGAACTTGGCAGAGGGGCAGAAAATCCACTCAGATTCACTAACAAAGACGTCACATGCTTGCTTTGGCAGGACACATACTAAAATTGGAACGATACAGAGAAGATTCACAAAAATAAAAAATAGAAAAAAAAAATGTCAGACCTTGTTGACTTTACCTGTATCTGCCTTTCTTTCCTCTATTGTGTAGGATTCATTTTCAAGCGGGTTCTCCAAATGCCGGAAAGATAACATCCTTCAGCTCACATTACAATAAGAAAGAGAGACCCAGCCGGGCGTGGTGGCTCACGCCTGTAATCCCAGCACTTTGGGAGGCCGAAGCGGGTGGATCACGAGGTCAGGAGATCAAGACCATCCTGGCTAACTCAGTGAAACCCCGTCTCTACTAATAAATACAAAACATTAGCCGGGCGTGGTGGCGGGCGCCTGTAGTCCCAGCTACTCGGGAGGCTGAGGCAGGAGAATGGCGTGAACCTAGGAGGCGGAACTTGCAGTGAGCCGAGATCGCGCCACTGCACTCCAGCCTGGGCAACAGAGCGAGACTCCATCTCAAAAAGAAAAAAAAGAGAGACCCTCTTTTTCTTAACATCGCATATCAAGCCTTTAAATGGCTTTGCTAGGTCACATGCTTATCCCCGAGACCAGGAGATCATGGCACTACTGTGGGTGGTCTCGCTAGGAAGATTTGGGGAGTAGGGGCAGAATACTGGCAGGCAGTCATATATATCCACCGTGCACTTCAAGATAGTGATGTGATCTGCAGCTTTTAGTTGAAGTAATTACATATGTTCACCTTTTGGAAGTTTTTATGAAAGAGTAGTGTTAAGTGATACAAATGTGTTGTTCATTTTAGTCCTTGCATTATCTTATTTTCAGGATAAAACATACCCTAAAGTTTTCATAAAATATTTTTCTTTCCATTATTCTTGTTAATTCACAATTGTTCTTTACTTATTTATGGATATGTTTGAAATGAAGGTTCCCCACGTGTGAAAGTCAAGAATCTGATTGAAAGCATGCAAATAAATGGGTCAGTGTTGAAGAATGGCTCCCTGACAAATCATTTCTCTTTTGAAAAAAAAAAGGCCAGAGTGGCTGTCTTAATATCTGGAACAGGTGAGATGTGGCTTCCCCTTCACTGTAGAGCTGTTGACTGCCCTTCCTTTCCTCCCCGCACTCTTGTGAGATTGTAAGGTTACTCTCGGCAGAGTCTAGGGACTGGGGGGAATCATGAGGGTTGTCTTTGTCTTTTCAGCATTCTTAGTCTTTCCACTTTTCTTAGGAATTTGAGACAGCTCCCAAAGAAAAAAGTAAAGGATGTCAGAAAGCTGGTTAAAGAGAAACCAGAAAAGATAGAAGCTACAGCTCATTTTGTATCATAGCTTTGTTGTTGAAAAGTCTGAAAACAGTTGAGGAATTTTTATTGTTATCTTATTAATTAGAAGAAGTTTATGTTTAACCTTTATGGATAGAGGGGTAAAGTAATAAGAGTATTGTATTCTCTCAGATGGATGTAGCCTGATTTTTTTCCCTCTATTGTAAGTAACACTGCTATGAACATTCTTGCAAATATTCAGTATGTTCTTAAATGCATATGTGATTTTTTTTTATTTGATGGCCAAGATCATAGTGATTCTTTTTGAGACAGTCTTGCTATGTTGCCCAGGCTAGAGTACAGTAGCTATTCACAGATGCAGTCATAGTACACTGCAGCTTCCAGCTCTGGCCTCAAGCAATCCTTCCGCCTTATTAGCCCCCCGAGTAGCTGGGACTGCAGGCATGCAGCACCACAACCAGCTCTGATACTTCTTCAGGATTCATTCCCAGAAGTTTAATTGCTTTACAGGTCGATCTTAAGGTTTTAATGTACTTTAGGCCCAAGTTGATAATAAAGCAAAGAAGCTATTGTAAGATGCAGCCATAAAAAAGAATAAAACCACATCATTTGCAGCAATATGGATGGAACTGGAGGCCATTATCCTGAGTGAACTGCCTCAGAAACAGAAAACCAGATATTGCATGTTCTCACTTATGAGTGGGAGCTAAACAGTGGGTACATGTGGACATAAAGATGGAAACAATAGGGCCGGGTGCTGTGGCTCACGCCTGTAATCCTAGCACTTTGGGAGGCTGAGGCGGGCGGATCACAAGGTCAAGAGATCGAGACCATCCTGGCCAACATGGTGAAACCCTGTCTCCACTAAAAATACAAAAATTAGCTGGGCATGGTGGCACACGTCTGTAGTCCAGCTACTCTGGAGGCTGAGACAGGAGAATTGCTTGAACCCTGGAGACAGAGGTTGCAATGAGCTGAGATTGCACCACTGTACTCCAGCCTGGAGACAGAGCAAGACTCCATCTCAAAAAAAAAAAAAAAAAAAAAGATGGAAACAATAGATACAAAACAGGGAAGTGTGGGAGAAGAGGTGAGGGTTGAAAATTTTTCTATCAGGTATAATGTTCACTATGTAGGTAATAGGTACACTAGAAGCCCAGTCCCCACCATTATACAACATTCCCATGTAATAAACAAGCGTGTGTACCCCCGAATCTAAAATTTTTTTTTTTTAAAGAAACTATTGTAAGAGTCATAGCATAGTGGTTTGTTCTTGAGAGGGTCAGTTTTTCTTGCTTAATTAAGCAGCTTATTTCTCATCAGTCAGTTTTAACATAATGTTATACTGTTTCTACTACAATGCTAGATCACAAGATACAGAATTTGTGGGAGCAATTACATATCCTAGGAGCAATTACATATCCTAAACCACGTCGTTTGCAGCAATATGGATGGAACTGGAGGCTATCCAGGAATATCTGTGCTTTTCACAATCTATTAATCCATTATCCCAAGAGGAAGGGAGTTTTTTTAATTTTTAATTTGTATGGGTACATGGTAGGTATATATATTTATAGGGTACATGAGATCTTTTGATACAGCCATACAACCTGTAATAATCACATCCCTGTAAATGGGGTATTCATCACCTCAAGCATTTATTCTTTGTGTTACAAACAATCCAGTTATTTTATTTCAGTTTTTTTTTGTTTTGTTTTTGTTTTTGTTTTTGAGATAGAGTCTCACTCTGTCGCCCAGGCTGGAGTGCAGTGGCGCAGACTCGGCTCACTGCAAACTCCGCCTCCCAGTTTCAAGTGATTCTTCTGTCTCAGCCTCCTGAGTAGCTGGGATTACAGGCACCTGCCACTATGCCTGGCTAATTTTTTGTATTTTTAGTAGAGATGGGGTTTCATCATGTTGGCCAGGCTGGTCAGGCTGGTCTTGAACTCTTGACCTCAGTATGATCCGCCTGCCTTGGCCTCCCAAAGTGCTGGGATTATAGGTGTGAGCCACCACATCCAGCCTCTTCCAGTTATTTTAAAATGTGTAATAAATTATTGTTGACTATAGTCACCCTGTTATGCTATCAAACACTAGATTTTGTTCATTCTAACTATATTTTTGTACCCATTAGCATCCCCTCTCCCCGTCTCTCCCACTACCCTTCCTAGCCTCTGGTAACCATCATTGCACTATCATCATGAGTTCAACTGTTTTAATTTTTAGCTCCCACAAATAAGTGAGAACATGTGAGGTTTGTCTTTCTGTGCCTGACTTATTTCACTTAACTTAATGACCTCCCGTTCCATCCATGTTGTTGCAAATGACAGGATCTCATCTTTTTTATGGCTGAATAGTACTCCATTGTGTGATGTACCACATTTTCTTTATCCATTTGTCTGCTGATAAACATTTAGGTTGCTTCCAAATCTTGGCTAGGGAGAATAAACATGAAACTGCAGGTATCTCTTTGATACACTGATTTTCTTTCTTTTGGGTATATACCTAGCAATGGGATTGCTGGATGATATGGTAGCTCTTTTTTTTAATTTTTGAGGACCCTTCAAACTGTTCTCCATAATAATTGTACTAATTTACCTTCCCAATAGTGTGTGACGGTTCCCTTTTCTCCACATCTTCGCCAGCGTGTTATTGCCTGTGTTTTGGATAAAAGCCATTTTAACCGGGGCGAGACAATATGTCATAGTTTTGATTTGCATTTCTCTGATGATAATGATGTTGAGCACCTTTTTATATACCTGTTTGCAATTTGTGTGTTTTCTTTTAAGAAATGTCTATTCAGATCTTTTGCCCATTTTTAATCAGAGTATTAGATTTTTCCCTAATGAATTGTTTAAGCTCCTTATATATTCTGGTTATTAATCCCTTGTCAGATGGGTAGTTTGCACATATTTTCTACCATTCTGTGGGTTGTCTCCTTACTTTGTTGATTGTTTCCATTGCTATACAGAAGCTTTTTCCATATTTACTTTAGTTGCCTGTGCCAAGAGAAAGGGAATTTAGAAGCCTCACATATCACCAGTCTTTTCCAAGACATTTATTCAGAAAATTTGACTGTCCCCTATTCAAAATGGCACATCTCTTTTTTTAAAAAGTGTGAGGTTGGGCGCGGTGGCTCATGCCTGTAATCCCAAATTTGGGAGGCCGAGGTGGGCGGATCACCTGATGTCAGGAGTTCCAGACGAGCCTGGCCAACGTGGTGAAACCCCATCTCTACTAAAAATACAAAAATTAGCCAGGTGTGGTGGTGGGCTCCTGTAATCCCAGCTACTCAGGAGGCTGAGGCAGGATAATTGCTTGAACCCGGGAGGTGGAGGTTGCAGTGAACCCAGATCGTGGCACTGCACTCCTAGCCTGGGCGACAGAGTGAGACTCCCTCTCAAAAAAAAAAAAAGAAGTAGTAGTATGAGCTCACTGCTGTTTTTCTCCCTTCTCAGGATCGAACCTGCAAGCACTTATAGACAGTACTCGGGAACCAAATAGCTCTGCACAAATTGATATTGTTATCTCCAACAAAGCCGCAGTAGCTGGGTTAGATAAAGCGGAAAGAGCTGGTATTCCCACTAGAGTAAGTTACTTGGGAAAATATCTTTGCTGTGGGCCATATTTAAGCTCGTAATCTGCCCTCACAGGACCCTGGTCTATGGGCACTTGTTCTTGGGACTTCGCCATTTTGGGTGGGTGCTGGGCTTGCCTTCTTCATCCTGTCCCTTTCTTAATAATCTCTCTATCAGGTATATCTTTACAAGGAAGTGAAGTATGGTCTGTGTAAAGGTTGAGTTTTTAATTATTTTTGGTAATTCATTGAAAAGGGTTGTGCTTATCTTTTTCTATTACAGGTAATTAATCATAAACTGTATAAAAATCGTGTAGAATTTGACAGTGCAATTGACCTAGTCCTTGAAGAGTTCTCCATAGACATAGTCTGTCTTGCAGGATTCATGAGAATTCTTTCTGGCCCCTTTGTCCAAAAGTGGAATGGTAAGCAAAAATTATTTGACATCACATTGGGAAATCAATTGAAAATGGTCTCCAGAACAGATAACTTGCCAAACAATCCCAGTAGTGAACACCCATCCCAGAAATCCAACTCCTGTTTGACTGTGATATTTTATTAATACTTTAACACAGGTCACAGTTTAATTTCCTTTGTTTTACACTAAAGAATGACCCAATGATGATTTATTAACCTGCTCTCTATCCATTTACTTTGGCTTGCTGTAATTAATCACTTTTTCTAATGTAGCTTAGTTTTGTTTCACATTACTGCAAAGATAATATTTCATCTTTTGAATAAATATTCAGAAGACCTTCCTTTATTTGTTTGGAAGCAAAAGAGAGTGATTCCGTATATCCCAAAATGAAGAGTCCATCCTCTCTTAGGAAGCATAGACCATTGCCAGGAGTTGGCAAGGAGGAGGTTATTGCCAGAAAACACATACTATCTATGTTACTGCCTTCTTCCCAAAAGCCTTGACTGCATCCTGTTTGTGTATGTGTGCACACAGTTGGTCAATAAATGCATTTTCCCTCCAAAGAGTTTATGTATTCTTAGGTGAATGTAGTTAGAGCACTTGTGGTGTGATATAAAATAGACAATGCCTTTGGTGACATGAGCCACACAGAACTAATCTAGCATCTGTCTGGTGGACAGGTCACTTTGTGGTTAGAAGTCAAGCACATAGATGCTATGTAAGAACCTCTTGCTTATTTTTAATAGTACGTGCCAGCAACAAGCTGGTATTCAGCTTGAACTCCCCACCTTCCTGTCACCATGAATGTCTGTTCAGAGCACCCCAGCATGCCTTTAACTGTGCAAGGCGGGTACTTGCTGCTTCCAGGGCCTTCTTGGATGAGAACTTACTTTTACCTCATTTCTGTGTTTGGCAAAGAAAACATCCATCCCAGAAATCCAACTCCTGTTTGACTTCGGATCTAGATAGGAAAACGTATTCCTTTAACAGAATACCCAGGATTTTTAAATTCTGACCACTATGCTTTTTTTAATTTTTAGGAAAAATGCTCAATATCCACCCATCCTTGCTCCCTTCTTTTAAGGGTTCAAATGCCCATGAGCAAGCCCTGGAAACCGGAGTCACAGTTACTGGGTGCACTGTACACTTTGTAGCTGTGAGTATGTCTTTTTCTACCAACATAATATTAGTAGTCAGATGTAAATGACACTGGCTAGAAGGTAATGTTCAAAACTTTTGCTTACTTTTCCAGGAAGATGTGGATGCTGGACAGATTATTTTGCAAGAAGCTGTTCCCGTGAAGAGGGGTGATACTGTCGCAACTCTTTCTGAAAGAGTAAAATTAGCAGAACATAAAATATTTCCTGCAGCCCTTCAGCTGGTGGCCAGTGGAACTGTACAGCTTGGAGAAAATGGCAAGATCTGTTGGGTTAAAGAGGAATGAAGCCTTTTAATTCAGAAATGGGGCCAGTTTAGAAAGAATTATTTGCTGTTTGCATGGTGGTTTTTTATCATGGACTTGGCCCAAAAGAAAAACTGCTAAAAGACAAAAAAGACCTCACCCTTACTTCATCTATTTTTTTAATAAATAGAGACTCACTAAAAACAAGACTAGTTAGTGCAGCATATCTGAGACATACAGTTTTCTTGGTCTTTTTTATGCTCTTTTTCTAACCGTCACCCCCTCTTTTTTTTTTTGGTATTGCCTGACAACATGATGAATCACCTCCATGTTTATAAGTTTTATGTTTTCAGCTGGGCACAGTGGCTCACGCCTGTAATCCCAGCACTTTGGGAGGCCGAGGCAGGCGGATCATGAGGTCAGGAGATCGAGACTATCCTGGCTAACACAGTGAAATCCCATCTCTACTAAAAATACAAAAAATAGTTAGCTGGGTGTGGTGGTACGCACCTGTAATCCCAGCTACTCGGGTGGCTGAGGCAGGAGAATCGCTTGAACCCAGGAAGTGGAGGTTGCAGTGAGCCAAGATCATGCCACTGCACTCCAGCCTGGGCAACAGAGCGAGACTTGTCTCAAAAAATAATAATGGGCTGGGTGCGGTGGCTCACACCTGTAATCCCAGTACTTTGGGAGGCTGAGGCGGGCAGATCACGAGGTCAGGAGATCGAGACCATCCTGGCTAACACGGTGAAACCCCGTCTCTACTAAAAATACAAAAAAAAAAAAAAAAAAAAATTATCCTGGGTGTGGTGGCGGGCGCCTGTGGTCCCAGCTACTTGGGAGGCTGAGGCAGGAGAATGGCGTGAACCCGGGAGGCAGAGCTTGCAGTGAGCTGAGATCATGCCACCGCACTCCAGCCCGGGCGACAGAGCGAGACTCCATCTCAATAAATAAATAAATAAATAAATAAATAAATAAATAAGTTATGGGTTTTCTGATCTTTGATCATATGCTTTTGAAGCCATGACTGCTGGATGTATCTGAGTTAAAATGAGGAAAAGAAACATGAGGACAAACCCAAGTGTATCACCTGGGTTCCGTTTATAATCTTGGTTATAGATTCCGGTGTGTAAAAGTTGCCCAGCCTCCTTCTGATCAGTGTCAAGTGACTATCTCTTCCCCAAGTCTAACAAGGCAGTATCTCTTCCTTATATTGTATAGCTGATTTGAGACTTTTCCGACCATCGTGATCATAATCTGGTGTGTTAAGATTTCTGGATAGCTCCCATTTCTGAAGGATAGTATCCTTTATGCTTTGAAGTATCATTAAACGTTCCTCTAATTATTGACAGTTTCTGTAATCCCCAGATTTTAGCTTCAGTAAAGTTTAATTATCCTGTGGTTTATAAAGATCCATACTTCTCTGCAAGTCACTAGAGGATTAGGGGGAGAGTTGGTGGCTTTTAGATTCAAGCATAAAACTTTAGGCACATTTCTCATCCACTGTGTCTCTCTATTCCCTTGTCAATTAAAGTAGGCAAATATCATTCATATAGTTGTTTTGATGAGACAGTCTCACTCAGTCACCCAGGCTGGGGTGCAGTGGCAAGATCTCAGCTCACTGCAACCTCTGCCTCCCGGGTTCAAGTGATTCTCCTGCCTCAGCCTCCTGAGTAGCTAGGATTACAGGCATGCACTACGACACCCGGCTCATTTTGTATTTGTGGTAGAGACGGGGTTTCACCATGCTGGCCAGGCTGGTTTCCAACTCCTGACTTCATTTGATCTGCCTGCTTTGGCCCTCATAGTGCTGGGATTACAGGCGTGAGCCACCGCACCCGGCCCTCCTTTGGCCTTTTTAAAACCAAAATTGTCTTTACCTCCCAAAGTGTTTTTCAGCAATTCTAATGCATACATTTGCCTCCTCCACTGTTTAAAAGAGACCATCTCTGACAGCCATTCTTTCACAAGCCATGTAAATTTTACATTTACCACAGTGTTAGATCATTTTCCTTTATCTGGAGCCAAATGTTAATTAACAGTTAAAAACTGATTCATAAGTGGAGACAATGCAAATGTTCATCAGCAAATGAACTGATAAATATATGGATAAATATATCCATACATTGAATACTATTCAATTATAAAAAGGAATGAAATACTAACACATGCTACAGTGTGGGTGAACCTTGAAGTATTATGCTAAGTGAAAGAATTCAGGGCCAGGTGCAGTGGCTCAGCTCTGTAATCCCAGCACTTTGGGAGGCCGAGGCAGGCGGATCACGAGGTCAAGAGATCAAGACCATCCTGGCCAACATGGTGGAACCCTGTCTCTAATAAAAATACAGAAATTAGCTGGGCGTGGTGGTGTGCACCTGTAGTCCTAGCTACTAGGGAGGTTGAGGCAGGAGAATTGCTTGAATCCGGGAGGCGGAGGTTGCAGTGAGCTAACGCCCCTGCACTCCAGCCTGCCAATAGAGCGAGACTCCGTCTCAAAAAAAAAAAAAAAAAAGAATTCAGTCATAAATGACCACATGCGGCCAGGCATGGTGGCTCACACCTGTAATTCCAGCACGGGGGGCCCAGGTAGGAGGATCAGTTGAGCCCAGGAGTTCAAGACCAGCCTGGACAACATAGTGAGACCCCCATCACTACAAATAAAACAAAAATTAGGCATGGTGGCACACACCTGTAGTCCCAGCTACTTGGGAGGCTGAGGTAGGAGGATTCCTTGAGCTCAGGAGGTCGAAGTTTCAGTGAGCTGTGATCGCACAACTGTACTCCAGCCTGAGTAAGACGTTTTCTCAACAACAACAACAACACCAAAAAAAAAGACTGGCTGGTCTCGGTGGCTCATGCCTGTAATCCTAGCACTTTGGGAGGCTGAGGCAGGCAGATAACCAGGTCATGAGATCGAGACCATCCTGGCCAACATGGTGAGACCCCATTTCTACTAAAAATAAAAATAAGCGGTTGGGTGCTGGTGGCTCACGCCTGTAATCCCAGCACTTTGGGAGGCCGAGGCGGGCGGATCACGTGGTCAGGAGATCGAGATTTCCTTATTAAATGTTTCATGGCAACATGGTGAAACCCCGTCTCTACTAAAAAAGTACAAAAAATTAGCCAGGCGTGGTGGCGGGCGCCTGTAGTCCCAGCTACTCGGGAGGCTGAGGCAGGAGAATGGCGTGAACCCGGGAGGCAGAGTTTGCAGTGAGCCAAGATCGCATCACTGCACTCCAGCCTGGGTGACAGAGCGAGACTCCGTCTCAAAAAAGAAAAAAGAAGAAAAAATAAAAATAAAAAATAAGCTGGGCGTGGTGGTGCGCGCCTGTAGTCCCAACTACTCAGGAGGCTGAGGCAGGAGAATTGCTTGAACCTAGGAGGCGGAGGTGGCAGTGAGCCAAGATCGTGCCACTGCACTCCAGCCTGGTGACAGAGTGAGACTCTGTCTCAAAAAAAAAAGACCACATATTATACAGTTCTATTTATATGAAATGTCCAGGCTGGGTGCAGTACCATACACCTGTAATCCCAGCACTTTGGGAGGCCGAGGAGGGAAGATTGCTTGAGTCCAGGAGTTCCAGACCAGCTTAGGCAACATAGCAAGAAACCATTTCTACAAAGAATAAAATATAAAAATTAGCCAGGTGTGGCTATGTGCGGTGGCTCAGGCCTATATTCCAGCACTTTGGGAGGATGAGGCAGGGGGGTCACTTGAGGTCAGGAGTTCGAGACCTGCCAGGCCAACATGGTGAAATGCCATCTCTACTAAAAATACAAAAATTAGCCGGGCATGGTGGCCCTTGCCCGTAATCCCAGCTACTCTGGAAGCTGAAGCAGGAGAACCACTTGAACCTGGAAGGTGGAGGTTGCATTGAGCTGGGATTACACCACTGCACTCCAGCCTGGGTGACGGAGTGAGACCTTGTCTCAAAAATAATAAGAAGTAGAAGAAAGAAAGGGCCGGGCGCGGTGGCTCACGCCTGTAATCCCAACACTTTGGGAGGCCGAGGTGGGTGGACCACTTGAGGTCAGGAGTTTGAGACCAGCCTGGCCAACATGCTGAAACCCCATCTCTACTAAAAATACAAAAATTAGCCAGGCATGGAGCATGTGCCTGTAGTCCCAGCTCCTCGGGAGGCTGAAGCCTGCAGGAGGACTGCTTGAGCCCTGGAGGCGGAGGTTGCAGTGAGCCGAGATCACGCCACTGCACTCCAGCCTGGGCGACAGAGGGGAACTTCGTCTCAAAAAAAAAAAAAAAAATTAGCCAGGTGTGGTGGCACACACATGTAGTCCCAGCTACTTGGGAGGCTGAGGTGGGAGGATCACTTGAGCCTAGGAGGTTGAGTGCAATCGAGCTGAGATCATGCCACTACACTCCAGCCTGGGCAACAAAGTGAGACCCTGTCTCTAAAACTAATAATAATAACTGAGGCCGAGCACGGTGGCTCACGCCTGTAATCTCAGCACTTTGGGAGGTCGAGGCAGGCGGATCACTTGAGGTCAGGAGTTCAAGACCTGCCTGGCCAAAATGGTGAAATCCCGTCTCTATTAAAAATACAAAAATTAGCTGGGCATGGTGGCAGGTGCCTCTAATCCCAGCTACTTGGGAGAGTGAAGCAGGAGAATCGTTGGAACCTGGGAGGTGGAGGTTGCAGTGAGACGAGATGGCACCATTGCACTTCAGCCTGAGTGGCAGAGCAAGACTCTGTCTCAAAAAAAAAAAAAAAAAAATCCTAATAATAATGAATAACATTTAATAAGGAAATGTCCAGAATAGGCAAATCCAGAAGACAGAAAATAGATTAGTTGTTGCCTAAGGTGGATAGAGGTATTTGGGGTGACAAAAAAAGGGTACAGGGGTTTTTGTTTGAGTGATGAAAATGTTCTAGAATTGATTGCAGTGATAGTTGCACAACCACAAGAATGTACTGAAAGCCATTGAATGTACATGTCAAATTCATGATTGCATGGCATATGAATTATATCTCTAAAACTGTTTCCCAAAAGGAGAGACCCAACTTGTCTGTCACTCAAAAAAAACAAATCAATTTTTTTTCTTTTTCAGATGGAGTTTCACTCTGTTACCCAGGCTGGAGTGGAGTAGCGCGATCTCAGCTTACTGCAACCTCTGCCTCCCGGGTTCAAGGGATTCTCCTGCTTCAGCCTCCTGAATAGCTGAGATTATAGGTGTTTACCACCATGCCCAGCTAATTTTTGTACTTTTAGTAGAGACGGGGTTTCACTATGCTGGCCAGGCTGGTCTGGAACTCCCCACCTCAAGCAATCTGCCCACCTCGGCCTCCCAAAGTGTTGGGATTATAGGCATGAGCCACCGCGCCTGGCCTAAAAAAAAAAAAAAAAATCTTTTTTTATAAAAAATTTGATTCATAGTTTTTTTAAATACAACGAGTACATTGAACATGCTTCACATTCAGAACATGAAGTCTTTTAAATGAATATAGGTAGAACTTCCAACTTCCAGGCTTTGTAACAGAAATCATATTAAAGACTCAGTAGCAAGCCTAATCCTCAAATCCCCCATCTGTTAACCTGATAATCCTCATGTGTAAACTTATTTAAGAAGCTAACTCCTGAGCCACCTGTATTCTGAGCATTGCAATAAAGATGTGAAGATTTTAATATTACAAGTTGATTTTGCTTTATAAAATGAAAGTTTCATGAATTGAAATATCTGTGGACACTGAAACCTCAACAACAATTTTTTTTTTTTTTTTGAGTCAGAGTCTCACTCTGTCACCAAGGCTGGAGTGCAGTGGTGCAATCTCGGCTCACTGCAAACTCTGCCTCCCCGATTCAAGCAATTCTCTGCCTCAGCCTCCCAAGTAGCTGGGATTACAGGAACCCGCTACCACGCCCGGCTAATTTTTGTATTTTTAGTAGAGATGGGGTTTCACCATCTTGGCCAGGCTGGTCTCTAACTCCTGACCTCGTGATCCACCTGCCTCGGCCTCCCAAATTGCTGGGATTACAGGCGTGAGCCACCACACCCAGGCTTTTTTTTGTTTTGTTTTGTTTTGTTTTTTGTTTTGTTGAGACGGAGTCTAGCTCTGTCGCCCAGACTGGAGTGCAGTGGCAAGATCTCAGCTCACTGCAACCTATGCCTCCCGGGTTCAAGTGATTCTCCTGCCTCAGCCTCCCAGGTAGCTGGGATTACAGGCACGCGCCACCACGCCCAGCTAATTTTTGTATTTTTAGTAGAGATGGGGTTTCTCCATGTTGGTCAGGCTGGTCTCGAACTCCCGACCTCAGGTGATCTGCCGGCCTTGGCCTCCCAAAGTTCTGGGATTACAAACAGCCACCATGCCCGGACTCCCAGCTAATTTTTATATTTTCAGTAGAGACAGGGTTTCACCATGTTGGCCAGTCTGGTCTCGAACTCCTGACCTCAGGTGATCCGCCCACTTCAGCCTCCCAAAGTGCTGGGATTACAGGCATGAGCCACCGCACCTGGCCCCAAACAGCATTTTAAATTTCCGACATCACCAAACTCCAGAAAGTCACAGGAAAAAAAAATAGTTGTTATAACAATATCACTCAACTCCTTGAATGCTTCAGTTATATGCACCAGGAAAATCTACCACTGAAAATCATTTCAAATGAAATATTCAGCTGAGGAGTCTATTAGATCCTCCTTCACTTTTGTTGAAAACCAAGTATTGGAAACCACGCAACTTTTTTTTTTTTTTTTTTTTTTTGAGAGGGAGTCTCACTCTGTTGCCCAGGCTCTAGTGCAGTGGCGTGATCTTGGCTCACTGCAACCTCCGCCTCCTGGGTTCAAGTGATTCTCCTGCCTCAGTCTGCCGAGTAGCTGAGATTACAGGCGACTGCCACCACTCCCAGCTAATTTTTGTATTTTTTAATAAAGACGGGGGTTTCACCATTTTGGTCAGGCTGGTCTCGAACTCCTGACCTCAAATGATCCGCTCGTCTCGGCCTCCCAAAGTGCTGGGTTTACAGGTGTGAGCCACCACGCCCGGCCTTTTTTTTTTTTAGACAGAGTCTTGCTCTGTCACCCATGCTGAAGTGCGCTGGCATGATCACGGCACACTGCAGGCTTGACCTTCTGGGCTCAAGTGATTCTCACACCTCAGCCTCCTGATTAGCTGGGACTACAGTCTCATGCCACCATGCCTGGCTAATTTTTGTATTTTGTAGAGTTAGGGTCTCATTGTGTTGTCCAGGCTGCTCTCGAACTTCTACACTCAAGCAATCCTCCCCCTTTAACCTCCCAAAGTTCTGAGATTAGAGGGGTGAACCATTACACCTGGCCAAACCATCCAATCTGTAAAGGATTAATTTTCCTTCTTCAGCACCCACAGTAAATCAACCTTTTCAGTTGCACCTTTGCTGCCTGGAAGGTGTTAACAGTCTGGGGTAAATGAGGGGTGTGCCTTTCTTTTGCAAATTGAGGGAGGGATGATACTTAGAGGGGAGGTGGGACTTCTTTGTACACCTTGAGGGATTCCTGTATTCAACACTGTGACACCACTGTGGGGTCAGTCATTAGCTTCGAGGAGGAGGTTTAGGCATTGGCGTTGGCATTGGCAAGGGAGAGTAGATAATGAACATAATGTAGAGGTGTGGAATCTGAGAGCACCAATTGCATGAGAAGGGCGGAGCCAGCCAAGGACACTGGGTATGAGTAGGCTGTGCAGTAGGGGGACCCAGGAGAGAGAGAGAGGGACGCTGTGAAGCTTGAAGAAAGGTGTCTCAAAGAGCGGAGAACGAGCTTCTGGTGCCTTTCTCTTAGAGGCCAACTACAGCAAGAAGAGAGAAAAGTCAGTGCCACCCGCACAAGCACCCTTCAGCAAATCCGAAATCCCAGGATCAGAAACTCCTTTCTTCGGATGGGGAGACTCTGCCCCACATCCCACCCCCAGCACATCTCACCCAAATCCAAATCTCCAAGTTGGCAGAATGACTTCGAAAGAGGAAAGCAGGAGGCAGCAGCCCACAGCTGGTCCTGCAGGGCAGGGGTGTGTTCAGCAAGAGGAAAATGAGGGGGAAAGCTTCCACCTGCTTTCAGAGTTTTCCATCTGGGAGGAAACATTTTGGGTAACACAAATCCCTGGGACCTACTGAAGGGATGTATAAGGATCAAAGACACCTGCTGTGTTGGTCTGGTGGGGCTGATGTGACAAAGCACCACAGACTGGGTCTTCAACTACGGGAGACCATTATTCTCCCACAGTCGTGGAGACTGGAAGTCCAAGGTCAAGGTGTCTGCAGAGTGGGTTTCTCCTGAGGCCTCTCCTTGGCCGGCAGATGGCTGCCTTCTTTCTGTGTCCTCACAGGGACGTTGCTCAGTGTGTGCACAACCCTGATGTCTCTCTGGGGCCAAATTTCCTCCTTTTATAAGGATGTCAGTCAGATTGGATTATCACCCACTTTAACAGCCTCATTTTAACTTAATCACCTCTTTAAATAACTTATCTCCAAATGCAGTCACATTCTAAAGTACTGGGGGTTAGGGCTTCAACATGGGGGGCACAATTTAGCCCAAAGAGTGGAGAAGTGACCAGGTCATCTGGAGGGAGACAACTGTACATAGCGTCTCCTTATTGTAATTACTGGCCGGGCGCGGTGGCTTACACCTATAAGGGGTACATAGGTGCACTTATGTCATGGGGGGTTGGTGTACAGATTACTTCATCATGCAGGTATTTAGCCCAGTACCCAATAGCTCTCTGTTTTCCTCCGCTCCCTCCTCCCACCCTCCCACCTCAAGCAGACCCCAGTGTCTGTTGTTTCCTTGTGTTCCTAAGTTCTCATCATGTAGCTCCCATTTATAAGTGAGAACATGCAGTGTTTGGTTTTCTGTTTCTGCGTTAGTTTGCTGAGAATAATGGCCTCCAGCTCCATCCATGTTCCCGCAAAAGACATGATCTCATTCTCTTTTATGACTGCACTGTTTCTTTCTTTCGTTTTTCTTTCTTTTTTTTAAGAGACAGGGTCTCACCTATCACCCAGGCGGGAATAACAGTGGCACGATTATAGCTCACTGAAGCCTCAAACTCCTGGGCTCAAGCGATCCTCCTACCTCCTGAGTAGCTGAGACCACAGGTATGTGCCACGGCACTGGTCTATAGCATGGAATCTTTCATAATTTATTTCTCTCTCTGTAATTTGACTTTATTCTTCCTATTATGAACAGTGGTTCAAAATGAAAATCTTGGGACACTCCCCCGTCTACCCGAAGATTTTCAGAGGTAATCAAGATTCCAAAGTTTGTGTGGGCTAGGTGCAGTGGCTCACACCTGTAATCCCAGCACTTTGGGAGCCCTAGGTGGATCATTTGAGGTCAGGGGTTCGAGACCAGCCTGACCAACAAGGCAGAACCCTGTCTCTACTAAAAATACAAAATTAGCTGGGTGTGGTGGTGCGCGCCTGTAATCCCAGCTACTCGCGAGGCTGGGGCAGGAGAATTGCTTGAACCTGGGAGGTGGAGGTTGCAGTGAGCTGAGATCGTGCCACTGCATTCCAGCCTGGGCGACAGAGCAAGACTCCGTCTCAAAAAAAAAAAAAAAAAGTTTGTGTGAATCATTCTTAGGCTGAATATAACCTTTAAAACATTTTTTAAATTAATTAATGTATCGTTTGGTTGCAATCTCTGAGGATGAGTATGGCCTTTTTTTTTTTTTTTTTTTTGAGACGGAGTCTTGCACTGTTGCCCAGGCTGGATTGCAGTGGCGCGATCTCGGCTCACTGCAAGCTCTGCTTCTGGGTTCATGCCATTCTCCTGCCTCAGCCTCCAGAGTACCTGGGACTACAGTTGCCCGGTGCCATGCCTGGCTAATTTTTTGTGCTTTTAGTAGAGACAGGGTTTCACTGTGTTAGCCAGGATGGTCTCGATCTCCTGACCTCGTGATCTGCCCACCTCGGCCTCCCAAAGTGCTGGGATTACAGGCGTGAGCCACCGTGCCCAGCCAGAGTATGGCCTTTTATATGGTCAATTTATTGAGAACATTCTGTCATTTCTATCTTGTTTTATGTATTTTTATAATTTTAATGGATTGAAGGGGAAAATTCTTATTTTTTTACTAATGAAATTTTCCCCTGTACCTAGAGAAGGGACTTGCTTTGTGGGCTGAATACACTGATAAACCACTGGTATTGGGAAGGAGGATGGACAGTCCCCGCCCCTTCCCCAGCCTTCGCTGGGCACTCAGTTGAAGATTTCAAAAGGTCCTTGAGCAGCTGGGGAAGCAAGGCTAACTTCAACATTTCTGTTTTCTGCGTGAAGTGTTGACACTTGGAGTGTATTTTAATTTTACTTTTTTTTTAAATAAATAGAGATGGGGTCTCCCTATGTTGCCCAGGTTGGTTCAAATCCCTAGGCTCAAGTGATCCTCCCACCTGGGCCTCCCAGAGGGCTGGGATTACAGGCATGAGCCACTGTGCCTGGCCTTGGAGTGCATTTAGAAGCAAGGCTGGGAGAAGGATGAGATTGAGAGATATAAGGCACCTTACTGGGCCTGGAAGCAGAAGAGGGGGATGGCTACTGGCAACTTTTAGGAAGTTTTGCTTGGTGGCTTTTTTTTTTTTTGAGACAGTGTCTCGCACTGTCACCTGGGCTGGAGTGCAGTGGCGCAATCTCAGCTCACTGCAACCTCCACCTCCAGGGTTCAAACGATTCTCCTGCCTCAGCCTCCCGAGTAGCTGGGATTACAGGCATGCGCCACCACGCCCATCTAATTTTTTGTATTTTTAGAGAGATGGGGGTTTTCCGTGTTGGTCAGGCTGGTCTCAAACTCCCGACCTCAGGTTATCCACCTGCCTCAGCCTCCCAAAGTGCTGAGATTACAGGCGTGAGCACTGCGTCTGGCCTTATTTTTCTTTTTAAAAATTTTTTAGTGGCCAGGTCTTTTTTTTTTTAGACGGAGTCTGGCTCTGTCGCCCAGGCTGGAGTGCAGTGGCACGATCTAGGCTCACTGCAAGCTCCGCCTCCCGGGTTCACGCCATTCTCCTGCCTCAGACTCCCGAGCAGGTGGGACTACAGGCGCCCGCCACCACACCTGGCTAATTTTTTGTATTTTTAGTAGAGACGGGGTTTCACCGTGTTAGCCAGGATGGTCTCGATCTCCTGACCTCGTGATCCGCCCGCCTCGGCCTCCCAAAGTGCTGGGATTACAGGCGTGAGCACCGCGCCCGGCCAGAAATCCTATTTTCTTTCACATGAGTTATTTTGTTGATTGTTTGCTTATAACTAAAGCCCTCAGAATCAGAGTTTATACTGTATCTTTTTCTGTGTTCCTACATAGATGGCAATAAATGATTCTAATGTTTATGATGTAGAAGCTGAGGAGGCTAATACCTATTTCTGGCTCCTTTTAGGAGACACAGTCATAACAAAAAATATTGCTTAATGTGCGAGGCACAGTGCCAAGTGGTTTACATACATTGTGTAATTCTCCCCCTAAAAAAGTCAATGAAGTTGATACAATTATTATTTCATTATATGTAAAATAGGGAAAATAACAGCATTTATCTCAGAGGGCTGTTGTAAAGATTAAATGAATGCCTGTAATCCCAGCACTTTGAAAGGCCGAGGCAGGCAGATCACCTTAGCTCAGGGGTTCGAGACCAGCCTGGCCAACATGGTGAAACCTGGTCTCCACTAAAAATACAAAAAAATTAGCTGGGCATGGTGGTGCGCGCCTGTAATTCCAGCTACTCGGGAGGCTGAGGCAGGAGAATAGCTTAAACCCGGGAGGTGGAGGTTGCAGCGAGCCGAGATCGCGCCACCACACTCCAGCCTGGGCGACAGAGCGAGACTCTGTCTCAAAAAAAAAAAAAAAAAAGTAAATGAGAATATACATAAAGCACTTAGCACAATGGCATACTATTTACTATAGTTTACTATTTATTGCAACTCTCATTTTGCAGGTATCTTGCCTAAGGTGCAAGCAGAAGAAACAGGATTTTCAACCCAGATCTGAAAACTCCCAAGCCTCTGCCTTTTTCTTTTTATCCTTTTTCTTTTTCCTTGTTAAAAAACTTGCTTCCTGTACAGAGAGGGGAAATGCTCAGTCCCCACGTCAGTGGTTGAACTCCAAGCCAGAAGATCCCTATTTTGATTTTGTCCTCTGGCCTGTCGCCAGCCCCTCAACAGTACTTGAATTAATAAAAGGGCAGGTTTTAAGCCTCATGTATCTGCGCAGGTGACTCCTTCTGTGACCCCGAATAAACCTGTTCCGGTCCCGTTCCGGGGAAACAGCCTTGCCTTCCCCTGCCCCCAGAAAGTTACCCTCGCCCTCCGAGCCACAACTCCCCACGCCGCCAACTCGGTCTTTACATCATTTTCGACGCCCCCTAAGTCCCTCCCGAGAGGCGCAGGCGCACATCGCCCCTTCTAGCGAACTACATCTCCCACAATCCCAATCGGCCGGACCACCTCCGCTCGGGGCGGGGACGGAGGTGGAGCTGGTGGTCCCCGGTCGGGACGAAGGCTCCCGAGGTGCCCTGCCTGGGTCCTCCGGGGTAAAGTTCGTTTGGCGGAAGATTGTCCGTTTTCCTGGTAAGGTCACCTGTCCCAATCAGGTACGATTCTGCCTTCCGTACCCCCGAGCCCCTCAGTGTAAAGTGGCAAATGGTCTAGCCCGGCGGAGGCACCAGCTGGAGGCGGTGGGAGGGACACCCGCAGTGAAGGGCGGACCGCGCACGCATGCGCAGAGGCGCGGCAGGGGGGCGGGAGCCGCGGAACCCCTACCCCAGGTCTGCGCAGGTGAGGAGGGGGCGGGGCAGGACCGACCTCCCTTGCCATGATAACCACCTTCGCAGCCGGCTCCCAGACCGTTGGCACCGATTGCCTAGAAAATAGGGGGTCTCAGGAGCTCCGTTTTAGCGTTTATATATCCCAATTCCAATTAAGCCACTTCCAGTATTTTTTGGCCATTGTCAGTGTACAAGTCTTCCTCCTCTTCGAGACCATGTTATTGCAATAGCAGCAAACGTGTTGGGAGGCCTCACAATTCATCATGGTTTTTCTGGCCTCTGGCAGATAGCTCCTTCCTAGCGAGCTGTGGAGCTTAAAGTCTTTTGGACACTTGATTCTATTCAATCCAGTATCAGACCAGGTACGTACCTTGTCCATAAGTCGTCTTATGAGAAGACTTCTTGAGATGATGCAGACTCTCGTGCAGTTTATAATCGGCTGGAGGTATAGACAGTTAAGCAAGCCTCCTTTTTTACTGTGCCCACCCCTAACCATTTTGCTTACACCTTGTTATGGGACTTGGTTAAATTGCTTAACCTTCCGGACCTACGTTTTCTCATTAAATGAGAAGATTGGATTAGATGATCTCTAAGAACTTTCCACTTGTAAAATATACGGTTAGTTAGTGAGGGGTAGAATCCAGATTCTATCTATCTATATTTTTTTGAGACAGAGTCTCACTCTGTTGCCCAGGCTGGAGTGCAGTGGCACGATCTCGGTTCACTGCAACCTCCACCTCCCGGGTTCAAGCGATTCTCTTGCCTCAGCCTCCCGAGTAGCTGGGACTGCAACCTCCAGTTAATTTTTGTATTTTTAGTAGAGACAGGGTTTTGCCATGTTAGCCAGGCTGATCTCGAACTCCTGACCTCAGGTGATCCACCCACCTCGGCCTCCTAAAGTACTGGGATTACAGGCGTGTGCCACCGTGCCTGGCCCCACAATATGTTAACACTAAACTTCATCAGCTTCCACTTTTCTGCCCACATCAGTGAAATATAGCTATAAGAATGCAGCTGGTGGGGCTGGGTGCGGTGGCTCACGCCTGTAATCCCAGCACTTTGGGAGGTCGAGGCGGGCAGATCACAGGGTCAGGAGATCGAGACCATCCTGGCTAACACGGTGAAACGCCGTCTCTACTAAAAATACAAAAATTAGCCAGGAGTGGTGTCGTGCACCTGTAATCCCAGCTACTTGGGAGGCTGAGGCAGGAGAATCGCTTGAACCCGGGAGGCAGAGGTTGCAGTGAGCCGAGATCATGCCATTGCACTCCAGCCTGGGTGAGACTCTGTCTCAAAAAAAAAAAAAAGAAAAGAAAAGAAAAGAAAAAAGAATGTGGCTGGGCACAGTGGCTCACCCCTATAATCCCAGCACTTTGGGAGGCAGAAACTGGCAGATCGTTTGAGCTCAGGAGTTGGAGACCAGGGTGGGCAACATGACGAAACCCCATCCCTACAAAAATACAGAAATTAGCCAGGTGTGGTGGTGCACGCCTGTAGTCCTAGCAACATGAGAGGCAGAGGTGGGAGGATCACTTCAGCCCAGGAGGTTGATGCTGCAGTGAGCCACGATTGTGCCACTGCACTCCAGCATGGGCAACAGAGCAAGACCCTGTCTCAGACAAAAAAAAAAAAAAAAAAAGGCTGAGCGCAGTGGCTCATACCTGTAATCCCAGCACTTTGGGAGGCCGAGGCGGGCAGATAACCATGTCAGGATATCCAGACCAGCCTGGGCGATATGGTGAAACCCCTTCTCTACTAAAAATACAAAAAAATTAGCTAGGCGTGGCTCTGGAGGTGGAGGCACCACTGCACTCCAGCCTGGGTGACAGAGCGAGACTCTGTCTCAAAAAAAAAAAAAAAAGGAAAAAGTTGACAGCAGCATTCAAAAGAACTGCCCCTTGTTGTACTTATAAATTCATGCTGTATCTTTTACCTTATTGCTGAAAATAAGAAATTAACTGATAATACAACTTTGTTCAACCTATATTTGTTGTCGTTTTATAGGTCATTGCTAGGAAGAACTCTGGGTACAATAATGAATACAATGTATGTGATGATGGCTCAGATCTTAAGATCTCACCTGATAAAGGCTACAGTGATTCCTAATCGAGTGAAAATGCTTCCATATTTTGGTATCATTAGAAATAGAATGATGTCAACCCATAAATCCAAAAAGAAGATCAGAGAATATTATAGACTGCTGAACGTGGAGGAAGGATGCTCTGCAGATGAAGTCAGGGAATCTTTTCATAAGCTTGCCAAGCAATATCATCCTGACAGTGGCTCTAATACTGCTGATTCTGCAACATTTATAAGGATTGAAAAAGCTTATAGAAAGGTGCTCTCCCATGTGATAGAACAAACAAATGCCAGTCAGAGTAAAGGTGAAGAAGAAGAAGATGTAGAAAAATTCAAATATAAAACACCCCAACACCGACATTATTTAAGTTTTGAAGGTATTGGTTTTGGGACTCCAACTCAACGAGAGAAGCATTATAGGCAATTTAGGGCAGACCGTGCTGCTGAACAAGTGATGGAATATCAAAAGCAGAAACTACAAAGCCAGTATTTTCCTGATAGTGTAATTGTTAAAAATATAAGACAGAGCAAACAGCAAAAGATAACGCAAGCTATAGAACGTTTAGTGGAGGACCTCATTCAAGAATCCATGGCAAAAGGAGACTTTGACAATCTCAGTGGGAAAGGAAAACCTCTGAAAAAGTTTTCTGACTGTTCTTACATTGATCCCATGACTCACAACCTGAACCGAATACTGATCGATAATGGATACCAACCAGAATGGATCCTTAAGCAAAAGGAAATAAGCGATACTATTGAGCAACTCAGAGAGGCAATTTTAGTGTCTAGGAAAAAACTTGGGAATCCAATGACACCAACTGAAAAGAAACAGTGGAACCATGTTTGTGAGCAGTTTCAAGAAAACATCAGAAAATTAAACAAGCGAATTAATGATTTTAATTTAATTGTTCCCATCCTGACCAGGCAAAAAGTCCATTTTGATGCTCAGAAAGAAATTGTCAGAGCCCAGAAAATATACGAGACCCTTATAAAAACAAAAGAAGTCACAGATAGAAACCCAAATAACCTTGATCAAGGAGAAGGAGAGAAAACACCTGAAATCAAGAAAGGTTTTTTAAACTGGATGAATCTGTGGAAATTTATTAAAATACGATCATTTTGATGTTTACTATCATAAATCATTCTTAGTTCCACTGACACTTTACATGGAAAATGAGATTTATTGCTATAATACAAGAATTTAAGAATTGTGCCATTGTACTTATCACAAAACTAATCACATAGCCAATGATGTGTGAGTGAGAAACCTATCAGGTTTGTCCTGAGGATATAGCAAGAAAAGAAAATAACTGAAACTCCTTTTTTTTTGAGACGGCGTCTCGCTCTGTCACCCAGGCTGGAGTGCAATGGCACAATCTAGGCTCACTGCAACCTCTGCTTCCCAGGTTCAAGTGATTATCCTGCCTCAGACTCCCGAATAGCTGGGATTATAGGCACACACCACCATACCCGGCTATTTTTGTATTTTGTTTTCTTTTTTTTTGAGACAGAGTCTCACTCTGTCGCCCAGGCTGGAGTGCAGTGGCGCGATCTCGGCTCACTGCAAGCTCCACCTCCTGGGTTCACGCCATTCTCCAGCCTCAGCCTCCTGAGTAGCTGGGATTACAGGCGCCTGCCACCACGCCCAGCTAATTTTTTGTATTTTTAGTAGAGACGGGGTTTCACTGTGTTAGCCAGGATGGTCTTGATCTCCTGACCTCGTGATCCGCCCACCTCGGCCTCCCAAAGTGCTGGGATTACAGGTGTGAGCCACCGCGCCTGGCCTATTTTTGTATTTTTTGTAGAGACGGGGTTTCACCATGTTGGCCAGGATGGTCTCAAACCCCTGACCTCATGATCCACCTGCCTTGGCCTCCCAAAGTGCTGGGATTACGGGCTTGAGCCACCATGCCCGGCCTAATTTTTATATTTTTAATAGAGATGGGGTTTCACCATGTTAGCCAGGATGGTCTCGATCTCTTGACCTCATGATCCGCCCCCCTTGGCCTCCCAAAGTGCTGGGATTACAGGCGTGAGCCACCATGCCTGGCCAAAAATAACTGAAACTTCTAAAGAAAATAATTTAGTTCATTCTAGTGTTAAAATGTTGGTCATCCAGTGAAATGAGCTAGGATCAGGTTTCTGACTTAGGAATCATACATGAATTCCAAAAGTTTTGGTGCAGTTTTGAGCTGTAATAACTAACTTAAAAGCAGTGACTGTTGCCATTTTCAAACATAGGTACTTAAACAACAGGGAAACCGAAAAATATGTTATCAAAAGTCACAAAACTGAAGTGTTATGAAATTTAACCAATTAAACCTCCAGATGACTTTTTTTTTTAAACGAGCTTGCTGGATTTATATTCCTGAACTTATTAAGGCTCAAAACCGTTCCAAGACTTTTGGGACACCCTCCATATGGGTGGAAATATTAAGATCAGAAAATTAGCCTACTGGAATTACTGTACTTTTCTTTTTATGAGGGCCTTCTCTGTGGGTACTGAATGAAAAACACACCAAACATCCAGATTCTACTTTTTCCTGTCTAACTTGATGGTTTATTGGCTGCAGAAATCAGTGAAGCTAGTTGATTTAGCAATTCTAGAAAAAAACTCCAGTGTCCGCTTTTTTTTTTTTTTTTGAGATGGAGTTTCACTCTTGTTGCCCAGGCTGGAGTGCAATGGTGCAATCTTGGCTCACTGCAACCTCCGCCTCCTGGGTTCAAGTGATTCTCCTACCTCAGCCTCCCAAGTAGCTGGGATTAGAGGTGCCCGTCACCACGCCCAGCCAATTTTTATTTTTTTTAGTAGAGATGGGGTTTCACCATTTTGGCCAGGCTGGTCTCGAACTCCTGACTTCAGGTGATCCACCTGCCTTAACCTCCCAAAGTGCTGGGATTACAGGCGCGAGCCACTGTGCCTGGTCCAGTGGCCACTTTGTTTTTTTGAAATGGAGTTTTGCTGTTGTTGCCCAGGCTGGAGTGCAGTGTTTCCTTCTTTAATCCAGAGTGCTGTGTTACAGAAGTGGTTCAGAAGTGAGGGACTCACCACCTGCATTTTGGAAGAAAGTGTTATTTTGTAAAATGTGTGATAGTTAAAACAACAAACAAAACTACACCTTCAAAAAGAAATTTTTGGCCTTTAGCTTAGATGCTGCAGCATTAATTGGCATAATATGTGATTATAATTTATTGAATGATTTGTCATTTGGTTTCTACAATGATAGTATCACTGTAAATAAAATTGTGAACAGTATGGAATGTTGCTTAATAAGAGCTATAGTTCCAAAAACATTTTAGAAGGCAGTAATTTTGTGACTCTTGTTAAAAGTGGGAATTCGAGGCCGGGCGCGGTGGCTCATGCCTGTAATCCCAGCACTTGGGGAGGCCCAGGCGGGCGGATCATGAGGTCAGGAGATTGAGACCATCCTGGCTAACACGGTGAAACCCTGTCTCTACTAAAAATACAAAAAAATTTAGCTGAGCATGGCGGTGTGCGCCTGTAGTCCCAGCTGCTGGGGAGGCTGAGGCAGCAGAATGGCACGAACCCAGGAGGTGGAGCTTGCAGTGAGCCGAGATCGCGCCACTGCACTCCAGCCTGGGTGACAGAGCAAGACTCCGTCTTAAAAAAAAAAAAAAAGTGGGAATTAGACGTAAGAGGCTTAACTGCATTACAGCAACATAGATGAACAAAACCATTTTCCATATTGGTCAATGAGAAGGTAAGGTTACCAGAAAATGTCAGTAAATTTTTAATTTCAGCACAGTGCACTTTATGTTTGTAAATGTTGTCTATGTTAATAAAGTTACTATAATAATTATTCAATGTCCCTTTGTTATAATGGTAATAATATTTTGGGCTAGGCATCTAATTTTTTTTTTTTTGTAATGGAGTTTTGCTCTTGTTGCCCAGGCTGGAGTGCAATGGCGCAATCTCGGCTCACTGCAAACTTTGCCTAGTGGGTTCAAGAGATTCTCCTGCCCCAGCCTCCCAAGTAGCTGGGATTACAGGCATGTGCCACCACGTCCGGCTAATTTTGTATTTTTAGTAGAGACAGGGTTTCTCCATGTTGGTCAGGCTCGTCTCAAACTCCTGACCTCAGGTGATCCACCCGCCTCAGCCTCCCAAAGTGCTGAGATTACAGGCATGAGCCACCGCCCCCAGCCCTGAATGCATTTTTTTAAAAAAATCTTTTTGATTGGCCAGGCACGGTGGTTCATGCCTGTAATCCCAACATTTTGAGAGACCAAGGCAGGAGGATTGCTTGAGCCCAGGAGTTTGAGACCAGCCAGAGAAACATGGTGAAACTCTGTCTCTACCAAAAACAACAACAACAACAACAACAAATCAGGTGTGGTAGCACATTCCTGTAGTCCCAGCTACTTGGGAGCCTGAGGTGGGAGGATCGCTTGAGCCCAGGAGGTCAAGGCTGCAGTGAGCCATGATCACACCACTGCACTCCAGCCTGGGCAAGAGTAAGACCCTCTCTCAAAAAAAATGAAAAACAAATCTTCCAGGCTGGAGTGCAGTGGCACGATCTTGGCTCACTGTAACCTCTGTACCCCGGGTTCAAACGATTCTCCTGCCTCAGCTTCCTGAGTAGCTGGGACTACAACCACCTGCCACCACACCTGGCTAATTTTTGTATTTTTAGTAGAGACAGAATTTCACCATGTTGGTCAGGCTGGTCTCGAACTCCTGACGTCGTGGTCCGCCCTCCTCGTCCTCCCAAAGTGTTGGGATTATAGGGGTGAGCCACCGCGCCCAGCTCAGGTAATGTTTTTATAGCAGTGTGAAAATGGACTAATATAGTACCCTGGCATAAGAGTTTTGAGGAGACATAATCATTCAGACCATAACACCCATGATAACTCTGATCCTCCAGTTCCATGAGCCACAGAATCCTACTCATTATTTAAGCCAGTTTGAGATGTTCTTTTCTGTTACTTATAACTGAAAGAGACCAACTGACAAATGTATACACTGTCTTCAGAGTCTAGATGTGGAAAGAAGTATTTCCTCTTCTGCTGGAGTCAAATTATCTTCCAGGCCTTGGTTTTTTGTTTCCCATCTAAAGATCAGTCTTTTCTCCTAAATGACTGACACTGAATAGCCATCCTTTCAGGAGAGAGTCCATTTCAGACCCACAGGAAGTATGACCTTAGTCTCAAGACACCTTTATCAAAATACAACAGTTCTAATAGCTGCCTAAGACTTATTCAGATGAATCTTTTTGTTATACAACCACATAAGCATATGGAGAAAGAGAATATTTTGGGAAGTACCTGTTTATGCAACATGTTTTAGCCTTTCAGATAGTTCCTGTGGTACACATTTGGCTTGTACACTCAAAAGATGGACGTGAATACCACTCTATCAGAGTAAGTTCATGAAGCAGCCCTGAGAGAGAATAAACTAGAACCCATGGGGCGTAGCGTGAAGGACAGCCTGGATTGTTCCTTTCTCTTAATAGGCTTGTACCAACTGGACTGCATTTTCTGTCTAGTTTTAGGTGAAGTAGATCTTTCAGAACCTGTCCTGGCCCAAACCTGAAAATGGTCCTGAAGTCACAATGTCTCCAGAATCTAGGAGTGCCTCTCTGAAGTGCTTGGGTAACAGGAATTTAACAAAACATATGCTTCAGTAGCTACATGGTAGAATACCAATTGAATTAGAAAATGTGTGGTTTTTTTTTTTTTTTTTTGAGACTTAGTCTCACTCTGTCGCCCAGGCTGGAGTGCAGTGGTGCAATCTCGGCTCACTGCAAGCTCTGACTCCCAGATTCAAGCGATTCTCCTGCTTCAGCCTCTTGAGTAGCTGCGATTACAGGTGAGCGCCACCATGCCTGGCTAATTTTTGTATTTTTAGTAGAGACGGGGTTTCACCATGTTTGCCAGGCTGGTCTCGAATGCCTGACCTCATGGTCTGTCCGCCTCGGCCTCCCAAAGTGCTGGGATTACAGGCTTGAGCCACCGCACCCGGCCATGTGTGGTTTTTTTTTTTAAAGGCTGATTTACAATTCTACTAAATACTTAAATCAGTACATTTGGAATTGACAGCGAAATGTTGACATCAGCAACTTAATCCCCGTATCTTTCAAATGCCTTTTTTTTTTTTTTTTTTGAGACGGAGTCTTGTTCTGTCGCCCAGGCTGGAGTGCAGTGGCGTGATCTTGGCTCACTGCAACCTCTGCCTCTCGGATTCAAGTGATTCTCCTGCCTCAGCCTCCTGAGTAGTTGGGATTACAGGCATGTATCACCATGCCCAGCTAATTGTTTTTTCTTTTTAGTTGAGACGGAATTTTACCATGTTGACCAGGCTGATCTGGAACTCCTGACCTCAGGTGATCCAACCGCCTCTGGTTCCCAAAGTGCTGGGATTACAGGTGTGAGGCACTGTGCTCGGCCAAATGCCCATATTTTTGAAAGCATAACTAAATACATGTTTGACTCTTTGTGGAATAGAGGTTTATAGACTGAGAGAAGCAAATTGTGCTATGGTTTGAATGTGTCCCCAAAAAGTTCATGTGTTTGAAACTTAATTACTATTGTAATCGTGTTGAGAGGTAGAACCTTGAAGATGTGATTGGGTCATGAGGGCTCCACCCTCACGAATGGATTAATGCTGTTATTGTGGGAGTGGGTTAGTTATCTTGGGATTGGGCTCTTGGTAAAAGGATAGCGTCAGCCTGATTTTCTCCTTCTGTCTTGTATGCTCGTTGGCCCCTGTCTGTCTTGTTTTCTACCATGGGATGACACAGCATGAAAATCCTTACAAGATGCCAGCACCATGCTCTTGGAGTTCCCGGCTTCCAGAACTGTGGACCAAATAAAACACTATTGTTTATAAATTGCCTGTTCTGTGTTATTCTGTTATAGCAGTAGAAAAGGACTTCAGACAAGCTGCATTAACATAAGTCTCCACTACTAAAAAAGCAACTTAAAGCATGTGCATCCCAACGGTAGGTGAACAGTAATGTCTTCCTTCATATATGGAGGTAATCATTTTTCTACAGATATTATTCTGTAACAAAGCTTAAAAAAATCCTGGGAAACCTTAAAATATTAGTACTTTAAAAAGCAATGGCCTGTCTGTGCCAGGGCAGCATGTGGTCCATGCTGATCGACAGAGACACTCAGGCTGTGCCCTCAGGATGACCGAGTGGGAGACAGCAGCACCAGCAGTGGCAGAGACCCCTTGACATCAAGCTCTCTGGGAAGTGGAGCACTGATGATATGCAGATCAATGGCATTTCCCTGCAGGATTACACTGCAGTGAAGGAGAAGTATGCCAAGTACCTGCCTCACAGTGCTGGGTGGTATGCAGCCAAATGCTTCCGCAAAGCTCAGTGCCCCATTGTGGAGCCCCTCACTAACTCCATGATGATGCACGGCTGCAACAACAGCAACAAGCTCATGATCATGTGCATCATCAAGCATGCCTTCGATTTCATCCACCTGCTCACAGGCGAGAACCCTCTCCAGGTCCTGGTGAACGCCATCATCAACAGTGGTCCCTGGGAGGACTCCACATGCATTGGGCGAGCAGGGACTGTGAGACAACAGGCTGTGGACATGTCCCCACTGCACTGTGTGAATCAGGTCGTCTGGCTGCTGTGCACAGGCACTCGTGAGGCTGCCTTCTGGAACATCAAGACCATTGCTGAGTGCCTGGCGGATGAGCTCATCAATGCCACCAAGGCCTCCTCCAGCTCCTATGCCATCAACAAGAAGGATGAGCTGGAGTGTGGGGACAAGTCCAACCGCTGATTTTCCTGGCTGCTGCCTAATAAACCAGTCTGCCCTTTGGGATGCCTCCCCCACCCCCCCAAAAAAAGTGATGAGATTTGGAAACTTCTAATTGTCCCCTAATATCTAGTTTTCCTTCCTTAGTACTGAAACCCCATTTTCCAGCCTTCTTTGCAATTTGGTGTAGTCAAGTGACTATTTTACTAGCAGAATGAAAACAAAAATGGTACATGCAACCCCCGCCCCTTTCAAAAGGTTCTTAAAGAGAGGAGAGTGTTCCCTTCTGTATCCTCTCTTCTGGTGGAATGCCAGCATTGTGACATATTTCAAAAGTAAATTATTCAGCACATATTTATTGAACACCTAGATCCTAGCCCATGTATAAGAGCTATAGGAGAACATTATCCAGGATGGCATTTTTGGTGATAATTCCATGATACAAAACCTTTTACTTCATTATGCCTCAAGTAAAATGCTTTTTAGATTTCCACTGATAATAACTCTACTTGGCTGGGCACAGTGGCCCACGCTTGTAATCCCAGCATTTTGGGAGGCAGAGGCGGGTGGATCACCTGAGGTCAGGAGTTCAGGATCAGCCAGGTGAAATCCCGTCTCTACTAAAAATACACAAATTAGCCAAGCATGGTGGTGCGCACCTGTAATCCCAGCTACTCGGAAGGCTGAGGTGGGAGGATTGATTGAGCGTGGGAGGTAAGAGGCTGCAGTGAGCCAAGATCACACCACTGCACTCCACCCTGGACAACAGAGCAAGACCCTGTCTCAAAACAAACAAACAAACCACCCAAAAAACAAAGCTCGACTTTCCCCCAAACAACTAAATGGTTATAGGCATTTCTGTAGGAAATTTAGACGGGGCTTCCAAACGCTGTTAAAGTTATGTTGAAAATCCAAGAGGCTGAAAGATATCTGACTATAAGAAAGACGAAAAAAAAAAAAAAAGACAAAAATCTACGTGAATAGACGGGAGAGCGCCGAGCGAAATCAGAAGACTAGTTGTATTGTGAGGATCACCTCGGGTAACCAGCACTCGCTGGGTAGCCCTGGTTTACTAACTTCAACTTTCTGGGGCTCCATTTCTGAATTGAGGGGATTAGAAAAAGGCATCTCTAAAGACCCTCCGTTCCCGAGAACCCTCCCGGAGCACCTTCCCTACTCTGGGCAGCTCGCAGACAGACAAGACTGATCGGCCATAGGCGAAGGGAAACCCTGGTCCCCCGGGTCTCGAGCTCCGTCCGCACGTAATCTCACGGTACTGCACTTCAAGTCAGCGTGCAGAAACGCAGCAGTGGGAGCCCGGCGGCGGCCGCCCACCGGCAGGGGACAGGAGAGGCCCGTCCCGCTCTGCCCGGAACCGTAGATAGCTGGGTCTGAACTCCGGCTCCGGGAGGCCTGCAGAGCAGCCCACCCCGTCCCTCGGAGCTCGCCCTGCCCCCGGCCGGCCACTTGCTGCACGCCGATTGGTCGCGAGGAGCGCCCGGCGTCCCGCTGCGCCCAGCCAACGCCCTCTCCCCGCCCCCTCGCGTCCCGCCCCGCCCCCGGCCGGCCACTTGCTGCGCTCCGATTGGTCGCTGCGGTGCACACGGCGCCTCGCCCCGCCTCACCGGCGCTCTATCCTCGCGTCTGCTCCCAGCTCCGGGCTCCCGGGGCTGAGGTGGAGCCGCGGGACGCCGGCAGGGTTGTGGCGCAGCAGTCTCCTTCCTGCGCGCGCGCCTGAAGTCGGCGTGGGCGTTTGAGGAAGCTGGGTGAGTCCTGTCTGTGGGTCTCCGGCGCCAGGCAACCGTAGAGGGCTCGCGCCCGCCGCCCGCGCGTAAGGAGGCTCCCTCGTCGGGCCCTGTCCGGCCCGGCCTTCTGGGGGCTGTGGGGCCGTCCAGCCGGGTTTTCCCTGCGTTCGGCGCCGGCCTGCAGACTCGGGCCCGCGGAGCCCCCGCCGCCCCTTCTTGCCCCTGCCCGCGTCCCTTCGGGCCGACCGTGACCGTGGCGCCGCCGCGACCCGCAAGCAGCCCGGGGAGGCTGCCCTGCCGCGCTGTCACGCCGTCAGGTTGCGTTCCTGGGGAGGGCTGGAGAGGCTCCATCTCGTGCCTTTCACCTTCTCGCGCGGCGGGCACGGAGGCGACGGTTTTCGGGACGCCCTGCTGCGGCCGCGACGCCCTCCCGAGGCCGGAGCGAGGGCCCCGGGGCGGCTCCAGCCCTTCTTCGCCCCTCCCGTTTGCCCCGAACCATTGCTAGGAGCCTGTGTTTTCTGCACTTTTCTGATTTCATTCTTACGAGAGTCAAGTACAGAGGCGGGAGGGGAAAGGGAAGGGGAACAACATTCTTTCGAGAATTATAAACCTTGAGCTCCGTTAAATAAGTAGCAGCAGAGCATTGTCACTGGAGCAGTGGTAGTCGCGGGTAGGACCGTTTCGGTTTTTAGCCAATAGGCTGGTTAAAGGTACTTAAAACAGTAAGTTGGAAGGTGCTGAAATTCTAAGGTAAATACGTGACCTTTCAAAACCAAAGCAGTGAGACGGGCTAGGCTGGGCTGCTCCCCGCTGCGCGTGCCTGGGTCGGGGGGTGCGGAGGGGCAGGGGGCGGAGGCCTCGGACGGGACGGGGTGGGAGGGAAGTGGCATCCGCATCGTCTTACATCGCGCTGTAAGACCCGATTTTCTCTTTTCGGAGGATCCCATCTCCCTTCTCAGACTCTTCATCCTACCTGCACTGTGGATCCCTTGACACTTCAGAGGCTCTGAACTCTCAGGCCGGTCACACTTTTTCATCATTTTGTTTCTTGTCTTTTAAACCTGCATGCATTTCAAACGTAGAGCAAACATTAAACTTTTTTTTTAAACTGAAGATAGTGGTGCAAGACTTTGTTATTGAAATGCAAACCAAAAGTTATCTTGAATATTTATCGCGCTGGAAAAGCAGGTTTAATTAGAGTGAGGTGGGGACGTATATTTCTTCTTCCGGAGACACAGCCTTCCCACTCACCACCCCAATCCCTCCTCTCTGTCAACTAGGGTTACAGCAGCCTTACACTGGCTAGTCTTTTCTGAATTCTGAATTCACTTCTGGGGGCCAAGGTAAAGAATTTATCGTATTTTATCCTCATTTTCCTTTTCTGTTTTTTTTGAGACAGAGTCTCCCTCGTTGACCAGGCTACAAGTACAGTGGCCCGATCTCTGCTCACTGCAGCCTGCACCTCTAGGGTTAAAGGGATTTTACAGCCTCAGCCTCCCGAGTAGCTGGGATCACAGGCGCCTGCCACCATGCCTGGCTAATTTTTATATTCTTAGTAGAGAGAGAGTTTCACCATGTTGGCCAGGCTGGTCTTGAACTCCTGACCTCAAGTGATCCGCTTGCCTCGGTCTCTGAAAGTACTGGGATTACAGGTGTGGGCACCGCGCCTGGCCTTTTAAAGTGTATTATTATTATTTTTAAATTTATTTATTTATTTATTTTTTGAGACAGAGTCTTGCTCTGTCTCCCAGGCTGGAGTGCAGTGGCAAGATCTCGGCTCACTGCAAGCTCCACGTCCTGGGTTCACGCCATTCTCCTGCCTCAGCCTCCCTAGTAGTTGGGACTACAGGCGCCCACCACCACGCCCGGCTAATTTTTTGTATTTTTAGTAAAGACGGGTTTTCACCGTGTTAGCCAGGATGGTCTCGATCTCCTGACCTCGTGATCCACCTGCCTCAGCCTCCCAAAGTGCTGGGATTACAGGCGTGAGCCACTGTGCCCGGCCTAAAGTTTATTTTTAACTTATGTATATATATATATAATTTTTGAGGCCGAGTTTTGCTCTTGTTGCCCAGGCTGGAGTGCAATGGCGCTATCGTGGCTCACTGCAACCTCCGCCTCCCAGGTTTAAACGATTCTCCTGTCTCAGCCTCCCAAGTAAACTGGGATTACAGGCGCCCGCCGCCACGCCCAGCTAATTTTTGTATTTTTAGTAGAGACTCGAACTCCTGACCTCAGGTAACCCCCCCCCGCCTCGGCCTCCCAAAGTGCTGGGATTACAGACGTGAGCCACCGTACCTAGCCCGTTTTACTTTTTAAATGATTAAAGTAACATTCAGGTTGTTTAAAACATTTAAACATGACAGAAGAATATCAAGTAAAATTCAGACAGCGCAGAGGTATGTCAAGTTAGAATTCCTTGTTTGTTCACTCTTTACATCCTCAATTCCATTCCCTAGGAGGGTATTATATTATAATATTGCTCGGCAACTGATGATAATATAAGGACACATTTCCTTCATAAGCACGTGGAGACCTACCTCATTTCCTCCCAACCCCACCCCTCACTTTGGAGACCGGGTCTCACTGTGTTGCCCAGGCTGGAGTGCAGTGGTTCCCTCACGGCTTGCTGCAGCCTTGGGCTCAAACGATCCTCCCACCTCAGCCTCCTGAGAAGCTGAGACTATAGGCGAGTGCCACCATGCCTAATTTTTGTAATTTTTGTAGAGACGGGTTTCTCATATTGCCCAGGCTGGTCTTGAATTCCTGAACTCAAGCCATCCACCTGCCTCAGCCTCTCAAAGTGCTGGGATTACAGGTGTGAGCCATCCTGCCCAGCCAACTTGCCTCATTTTCAGAATGTTGCATGGTATACCGTTGTTTGGATGTACCCTAATATACATTTTTTGGTTCCTTATTGATGGACATTTTGACTGTTTCTGGGTTTTAGCCATTAAAAGCTTTGCTTTATGAAAATCTTTTTGTCGTTCTAGGGTAAGTTTCAAGTAGATAATATAAACAGATGATTGTACTTTGATATAATTTTATTTCACAAGGAATCTTTTTAAACTTAAAGTTGTTTTTTTTTTTTTTTTTTTGAGATGGAGTCTCACTCTGTCGCCCAGGCTGGAGTGCAGTGGTGCGATCTCGGCTCACTGCAAGCTCCACCTCCCGGGTTCACACCATTCTCCTGCCTCAGCCTCCCGAGAAGCTGGGACTACAGGCACCCTCCACCACGCCCAGCTAATTTTTTGTGTTTTTAGTAGAGACGGGGTTTCATCGTTTTAGCCAGGATGGTCTCAATCTCCTGACCTCGTGATCCGCTGGCCTCGGCTTCCCAAAGTGCAGGGATTACAGGTGTGAGCCACCACGCCTGATGTTATAACTTAAAAGATTTTATAATTTAAAAGCAGTAGCTAAATCTATTTGAATTAAATGCATTTCTAAGATTCCATATATTCTTTTATTATTTTTTGAGACGGAGTTTTGCTCTTGTTGCCCAAGCTGGAGTGCAATGGCGTGATCTTGGCTCACTGCAACCTCCATCTCCCAGGTTCAAGCAATTCTCCTGCCTCAGCCTCCTGAGTAGCTGGGATTACAGACATGCGCCACCACCTCGGCTAATTTTGTATTCTTAGTAGAGACGGGCTTTTGTCAGGCTGGTCTTGAACTCCCGATCTCAGGGGATCCACCCACCTAGGCCTCCCAAAGTCTTGGGTTTACAGGCATGAGCCACTGTGCCTGGCTCTATATATTCTTTTATATTTAGAGGCTGGAACAGAAAATTTTGAAGACTGTATTAAATAATAGAGGATTTATTACTCTTCTTACCACGAAGTGGTGTTGACCTTAAGGTTATATTGCCTCATTTAATTGGGTTGGCAGAAGTGATAAGAGAGGTCCTTCAGATTAGAGGGGGCTCTGCTGCCCAGGCCGGAGTGCAGTGGTGAGATCTTGGCTCACTGCAACCTCCACCTCCTGGGTTTAAGTGATTCTCCTGCCTCAGCCTCCCGAGTAGCTGGGACTACAGGTGGGTGCCACCACGCCCAGCTGATTTTTTGTATTTTTATTAGAGATGGGGTTTCAACGTGTTAGCCAGGATTGTCTTGTTCTCCTGACCTCATGATCTGCCCACCTTGGCCTCCCAAAGTGCTGGGATTACAGGAGTAAGCCACCGCACCCAGCTGCTTGTTCTTTTTTAAAAGTAATTTCTTCCTGGGCGCGGTGGCTCACGCCTGTATTCCCAGCACTTTGGGAGGCCAAGGCGGGTGGATCACGAGGTCAGGAGTTCAAGACCAGCCTGGCCAAGATGGTGAAACCCTGTCTCTACTAAAAATACAAAAAAGTAGCCGGGCCTGGTGATGGGCCCCTGTAATCCCAGCTACTTGGGAGGTGGGGGCAGATAACTGCTTGAATCCAGGAGGCGGGAGTTACAGTGAGCCAAGATCGTGCCACTGCACTCCAGCCTGGGCGACAGAGCGAGACTCCATCTCCCAAAAAAAAATAGTAATAATTTCTTTCATTGCAAATTTTATCTCAGGTACAAAAAAGCATATAAAACATGTATAATTTAAAGAATACTATTGCAATGATCATTTTGTATCCACTACCAGATTAAGAAACAAAATGTTTGGCCAGCCGCAGTGGCTCAACACCTGTAATGCCAGCATCTTGGGAGGCTGAGACAGGCAGATCACTGAAGACTGGGCGTTGGAGACCAGCCTGGCCAACATGTGAAACCCTGTCTCTACCAAAAATATAAAAATTAGCCGGTCGTGGTGGTGGGCACCTGTAATCTCCGCTACTTGGGAGGCTGAGGCAGGAGAATTGCTTGAACCTGGGAGGTGGAGGTTGCAGTGAGCTCAGATCACGCCACTGCACTCCATCCTGGGTGACAGAGAGAGACTCTGTCTTGGGGGTGGTGGCGGTGGGGGAACAAAATGTTTGCATTTTTTTCTTCCAGAGGTAGCCTCTGTCCTGATTTGTTTGTGTTTATCTTTCTCTTGCTTTTTTATTTTATTTATTTTTATTTTATTTTATTTTATTTATTTATTTATTTTTATTTTTATTTTTTTTTTTTTTGAGATGGAGTCTCGCTGTCTTCCAGGCTGGAGTGCAGTGGCGCGATCTCGGCTCACTGCAAGCTCCGCCTCCTGGGATCATGCCATTCTCCTGCCTCAGCTTCCTGAGTAGCTGGGACTACAGGCATGTGCCACCACGCCTGGCTTTCTTTATTATTTTTATTTTTATTTTTTTTAGTAGAGACAGGGTTTCACTGTGTTAGCCAGGATGGTCTCGATCTCCTGACCTCATGATCCACCTGCCTTGGCCTCCCAAAGTGCTGGGATTACAGGCGTGAGCCACCGCGCCCGGCCTCTTGCTTTTTAAAATAAGCTTTATGCATGTATACATAAATTCACATACATATACATTTATACGTATGTGCATGTTTACAAATATATACATAAATTTGCACACACACTCCTATATCCTAAACAGTATACTTAGTGGGTTTTTTTTTTTTTTTTTTTTTTGGAGACAGAGTCTTGCTCTGTTACCCAGGCTGGAGTGCAGTGGCACAATCTCGGCTCACTGCTGCCTCTGCCTTCTGGGTTCAAGTGGTTCTCCTGTCTCAGCCTCCCAAGTAGCTAGGATTACAGGTGACCGCCATTATGCCCGGCTAGTTTTTTTATTTTTAGTAAGGATGGGGTTTCTCCAGGTTGGCCAGGCTGGTCTTGAATTCCTGACCTCAGGTGATCCACCCACCTTGGCCTCACAAAGTGCTGGGATTACAGTGGTGAGCCACCTTAGTTTTGAATGAATGGTGTTACAAACACAATTCTCATGCAGATAGATAGGGAGCGTGTTTCAGTTTTGTTTTACTATTATTGAGAGTACCTCAAAGAGCTGTGTTTTTGTTTTGTTTTGAGATGGAGTCTGGCTCTGTTGCCCAGGCCGGGGTACAGTGGCATGGTCTCAGCTCACTGCAACCTCCTCTTCCCGGGCTCAAGCAGTTCTGCCTCAGACTCCTGAGTAGCTAGGATTAAAGGCGCCTGCCACCATGCCCGGCTAATTTTTGTATTTTAAGTAGAGCCGGGTTTCACCAGCCTGGCCAGCACAGGCTGGTCTCGAACTCCTGACCTTAGGTGATCTGCCCACCTTGGCCTCCCAAAGTGCTGGGATTACAGGCATGAGCCACCATGCCTGGCCAAAGAAGCTGGTTTTAAGAGGATATAAGGAATTGATATTTATGTAATTTGTAGGGAAAGAAATGTCTCAGTATTGTGGCTAAGTTAGTTTGATTGGTTAATGTTCCACAGGGCAACAAAATCATAATATCTTTGGGATTGATTTTCTTACCAGGCTATAAAATCAAAACACCTCATTAATTTCTACAGTTAAGCCTCAGAGGGCTATAAACTGTCTGCATCTTTATTAATAGTGGGCTGTTCATTAAATAAACGGTAATAACAAAGTTCTGTCCCTGAGAGTGTAGATGAAGTCCAGACATACTTATTAGAAAATGCTAGAGCTTTCTTTTTTTTTTTTGAGACGGAGTCTGGCTCTGTCACCCAGCCTGGAGTGCAGTGGCGAGATCTCCACTCACTGCAAGCTCTGCCTCCCAGGTTCTCGCCATTCTCCTGCCTCAGCCTCCCAAGTAGCTGGAACTACAGGCGCCCGCCATCACACCCGGCTATTTTTTTGTATTTTTAGTAGAGACGGGGTTTCACTGTGTTAGCCAGGATGGTCTCAATCTCCTGACCTCGTGATCCGTCCATCTCGGCCTCCCAAAGTGCTGGGATTACAGGCATGAGCCATCGCGCCCAGCCCGAGCTTTCTTTTTTTTTTTTGAGATGGAGTCTCCCTCTGTTGCCCAGCTGGAGTGCAGTGGTGCCATCTTGGCTCACTGCAACCTCTGCCTTCCAGGTTCAAGTGATTCTCCTGCTTCAGTCTCCCGAGTAGCTAAGGTTTCAGGCGTGCGCCACCACGCCAGGCTAATTTTTGTATTATTAGTAGAAATGGGGTTTCACCATGTTGGCCGGGCTGGTCTTGAACTCCTGACCTCAAGTAATCTGTCCACCTTGGCCTCCCAAAGTGCTGGGATTACAGGCATGAACCACCGCACCCAGCCAGTGCTAGAACTTTCTAAATTTGGGATTGAAATTTCATTTTATTTATTTTTCTGAGACGGAGTCTTGCTCTGTCACCCAGGCTGGAGTGCAGTGGCGTGATCTTGGCTCACCGCAACCTCTGCCTCCCAGATTCAAGCAATTCTCCTTCCTCAGCCTCCTGAGTAGCTGGCTAATTTTTGTATTTTTAGTAGAGATGGGGTTTCACTATGTTGGCCAGGCTGGTCTCGAAATCCTGACCTCATGATCCACCTGCCTTGGCCTCCCAAAGTTGGGATAACAGGCATGAGCCACCATGCCCGGCCTCATTTTATAATTATAACGTCAAACTTCACTAAGGAAAGGACAGCCACTTAGATGAAGGTTTTTAGGAAAAGATGAGCTGAACAGAATGGCTTCAGATCCCTTGCCCGTTTACAGGGGGCCTTTCTGAGGAAGTTTGTGGGCTGTGTTATGAGTCCTAGGAAAGGGGAGTCACCTCAGTCAGGGTATCTGGAAGGTTCTAGTGGACCAAGTAATGGAAAGACAACAAAAATAAGGTCAGAAGGAGTGGGCTTCTCTGCATTTTCTGCTTCTTAGCTCACCATGGCCTACCTGTAGTTAACAGGGTAGGTGAAAGCAGAACCTCTCTGAGGGGGAAGTGAGTGTCCTCTGCTGACGAAGGCTGCACGCCTTGCAAGGAGAGCAGGAACTGCATCAGCATGTGCTCAAGATCAAGCCAAGCCCCACTGAGTACAGATAGGCTCTGGGCCAAGTTCCTGGAGCATTCAGTCCTCAGCTTCAAAAGCTGCTATATTCCAGTGGATTTATTAAAAGATTGTTTTGTATAAAGGCACAAAATCCCCCACAAAAAACTGCTATAGCAGCCAGGACATTATGTCCTGAGTTACACTGCTTCAGTCTGGCCTGATTATCTGCTGCTTCTGGGGCACAGCTGGATTCTTTTTAGCTCTTCTGTGCAGGATCTTTCCTGTATCCTGTATTCTCTTTTATTAATTTACTCTCCCTGGTGAAGCTCAAACTCCAGTAGCTTCTTGACAAGAAGAGTTACATTTTTAGAAGAAGAGTTACTTTTTTGGAGACCTTGCGTGTCTGAATATTTTTTTGTTGTTGTTTAAATAGAGACGGGGTTTCGCCATGTTGGCCAGGCTGGTCTTGAACTCCTGGCTTCAAGTGATCCACCTGCCTTGGCCTCTCAAAATGCTTCTGAATATGTTTTGGTGCTATCCTCATACTTGATTGATATTTTGGCTGGTAAAAATCTTTTAGTTGGAAATAATTTTCCTACAGAGTTTTGAACTTACTGCCCCATTGTCATCTTGCTTGTAGTTTTACTGTTAAGAATTCCAAGCTGAGGGCCGGGTGTGGTGTCTCACGCCTGTAATCCCAGCACTTTGGGAGGCTGCAGTGGGTGGATTGCTTATGTCCAGAAGTTCAAGACCAGCCTGGGCAATGTGGCAAAATCCCATCTCTATAAAAAAATTAGCTGGTCGTGGTAGTGTGTGCTTATAGTCCCAGCTTTTCCCTGGGGCTGAGGTGGGAGGATCACTTGAGCCTAGCAGGTAGAGGCTGCAATAAGCTGTGATCATGCCACTGTACTCCAGCCTGGGTGACAGAGCGAGACCCTGTCTCTCTCTCTCTCACGCACATACACACACAAATTCCAAAAGCTATTATAATTCCTGCTCCTTTGTATGTGACCTGGTTTTTTTCCTCTCTGCAAACTTATAGAATCTACACTTTGACCTCAGTGTTTTGAAATTTAAAATGAAGTGTGGGTCTTTTTTTACTCCATTAGTTAAATATTCAATGGGTACTTTAAATCCGGAAATACAAGAACTTCTATTCTGGGGAAATTTTCTTGAAATATTTTGTTGATTCTTTTTTCTCTTCTATTTCCTGTGTAGTTCCTTTCTGAAATACCTGTTATTTATATGTGAATCTTTTATACTGGTCTTTTAACTTCTTTCTTTCTTTTCTTGGAGACAGAGTCTCGCTGTATCGCCCAGGGTGGAGTGCAGTGGTGAGATCTCAGCTCACTGCAACCTCCGCCTCCTGGGTTCAAGTGATTCTCCTGCCTCAGCCTCCCAAGTAGCTGGGATTACAGGCATGCGCCACCACTCACGGCTAACTTTGTATTTTTAGTAGAGATGGAGTTTCTCTATGTTGATCAGGCTGGTCTCTAACTCCTGACCTCAGGTGATCTGCCTGCCTGGGCCTCCCAAAGTCCTGGGATTACAGGCGTGAGCCACTGTGCCTGGCCCTGGTCTTCTAATTTCTTATCTGTTTTCTATCTATTTTTTTGCTCTATTTTTGTATTTTCTTTTCCTTTTCTTTTGTTTTTTTATTTTTGAGACAGGGTCTTGCTCTCTCACCCAGGCTGGAGTGCAGTGGCATGATCATGGCTCACTGCAACCTTGACCTTTTAGGCTTAAGTGATCCTTCAGCCTCAGCCTCCCAAGTAGCTGGGACTAGAGGCATATGTCACCATGCCTGGGCAATTTTATTTATTTATTTATTTATTTTAAGTTTTTATAGAAACAAAGTCTCACTGTGTTCCCCAGACTGGTCTCAGAACTCCTGACCTCAAAGCCTCCTCCTGCTTAAAAGCTTCTCAAAGTACTGGCATTATAGACAGGAGCCACTATGCTGAGCGTTGCTCTATTTTCTTTTCTTTTATTTTCTTTCTTTTTTTTTTTTTTTGTTTTTTTTTGAGATGGAGTCTCGCTGTTGTCACCCAGGCTGGAGTGAAGCGGCGCGATCTCAGCTCACTGCAACCTCTGTCTCCCGGGTTCAAGTGATTCTCCAGCCTCAGCCTCCTGAGTAGCTGGGATGACAGTTGCCTGCCACCACTCGCAGCTAATTTTTGTACTTTTTAGTGGAGACGGGGTTTCACCATGTTGGCCAGGCTGGTTTCGAACTCCTGACCTCAGGTGATCTGCCCACCTCTGCCTCTTAAAGTTCTGGGATTACGGGAGTGAGCCATCGCAGCTGGCCTCTATTTTCTTTTTTCTTTCTTTTTTTTTTTTTTTTCTTGAGACGGAGTCTTGCTCTGTCGCCCAGGCTGGAGTGCAGTGGCGCGATCTCAGCTCACTGCAAGCTGCACCTCCCGGGTTCATGCCATTCTCCTGCCTCAGCCTCCCGAGTAGCTGGGACTACAGGCACCCGCCACCATGCCCGGCTAATTTTTTGCATTTTTAGTAGAGACGGGGTTTCACCGTGTTAGCCAGGATGGTCTCTATCTCCTGACTTCATGATCTGCCTGCCTCGGCCTCCCAAAGTGCTGGGATTACAGGCGTGAGCCACCGCGCCGGGCCAGCCGGCCTCTATTTTCTTAACTTTTATTCCCCAACCCTTCTATTTGGAATTTAAGAAAGTTTCTACCATCATGTTTTTAAATTCCAAAGGGTATTTTTCAGTCTCTCAATGTTTCTTTTTTATGATTAATACATAATATTTGTATATAGTTATGGGGTACATAAGATATTTTGTTATGTGCATAGCACGTGTAATAAATAGGGTATTTAGAGTCTCCATCACCTCAAGTATTTATCATTTCTGTGTGTTTTGAACATTTCAAGTCCTCTTTTCTAGTTATTTTGAAATATATCAGGGGACTTCAGAAAGTCTGTGTAAAAATGGAATTAAAAAGCACAAGTAAAAAATATAAACTGTGTTTCTCAGTGTAAGCTCCATCAAGTTCAAGACACTTTTGTAAGCAGTGATAGCAGCCATTTAGCCCATCCCTAAAGAACTGAGGGTCCTGGGAGTTTAACCATGTCAGTGCAGTCTTTGTTACATTATTAACTGAAGAAAAATGGGTGCCTTTTAAAGATGTTTGAAGATTAGGAAACAAAAAGAAGTCAGAGGAGCCAGATCAGGACTGTTAGGGTGGATGCCTAATGATTTCCCATCGGAACTCTTGTAAAATTGCCTTTGTTTGATGAGAGAAATGAGCCAGGAGCGTTGTTGTTTGTGGTAGAGGACTCTTTGGCGAAGCTTTCCGGGGTGTTTTTCTGCTAAAGCTTTGGCTTTCTCAAAATACTCTCATAGTAAACAGATGTTATTGTTTTTTGGTCCGGTGGAAAGTCAACCAGCAAAATGCCTGGAGCATTAAAAAAAAACTGTTGCCATGCATGACCTTTCCTCTTGACCAGTCCGCTTTAATTTTCATTTCATTTTATTATATATATATTTTTTCTTTGTAGAGACAAGGTCTGCCTGTTTTGCCCAGGCTGGTCTCAAACTCCTTGCCTCAAGCGATCATTTTACTTTGGCCTCCCAAAGTGTTGGGATAATAGGCATGAGCCATTTTGCCTTGCCAGACCAATCTGCTTTTGCTTTGACTAGACCACTTCTACCTCTTGGTAGCCATTGCTTTATTTTTAATAATTTATTTATTTTTAATTTTTTTAGAGACAGGATCTTGCTCTGCATCCATTCTGGAGTACAGTGGTGCAGTCATAACTCACTGCAGTCTCAGATGCCTAGGCTCAGGTGATCCTACCACCTCAGCCTCTCCTCAAGTAGCTAGGACTACAGGTTTGCACCACCATACCTGGCTAAGTTTTTACATTTTTTGTAGAGATGTGGTCTTGCACTCCTGGCCACAAGTGATTCTTCCGCCTTGGTCTGGTAGCCATTGCTTTGCTTGTGCCTTGTCTTCAGGGTTGTACTGGTAAAGCTACGTTTCATTTCCTATTACAACTCTTGGAAGAAATCCTCTTTTTTTTTGAGACAGTTTCACTCTTGTTGCCCAGGCTGGAGTGCAATGGCGCAATCTTGGCTCACTGCAACCTCTGCCTCCCAGGTTCAAGCAATTCTCCTGCCTCAGCCTCCTCAGTAGCTGGGACTACGGGCATGTGCCACCATGTCGGCTAATTTTTGTGTTTTTAGTAGAGACAGGGTTTCACCATGTTGGCCAGGGTGGTCTTGAACTCCTGACCTCAAGTGATCTGCCCGCCATGGCCTCCCAAAGTGCTGGGATTACAGGCATGAGCCACCATGCCCGGCCATATTTTATTTCCTTTTAATTTATTGATCTTTCCTTGACTCTTTCTGGCAAACAGTGTCCTACAACTCTTCTAAACATATTTGTTAGGGCACCATGGCTTGCACCTGTAATCCCAGCTACTCTAGGGGGGCTGAAATGGAAGAATCACTTGGGGCCAGAAGTTAGGGACCAGCTTGGGCAATGCAGTGGTGTGATCTCAGCTCACTGCAACCTCCACCTCCTGGGTTCAAGTGATTTTCCTGCATCTGACTCCTGAGTAGCTGGGATTACAGGTGCCCGCCACCATGCCCGGCTAATTTTTGTATTTTTAGTAGAGCCAGGGTTTCACCATGTTGGCCAGGCTGGCCTCGAACTCCTGACCTCAAATGATCTGCCCACCTTGGCCTCCCAAAGTGCTAGGATTACAGACATGAGCCACTGAACCCTGCCACCTTTACTTTCTTTCTTTATCCTGATTCTCCTAGGTAGCAGCTAATTCTTCCTTGCTGGTACTAAGGGATTTAGGGGCTTTGTGTATATTTTTCCCTCTCTCTGCTCTACTCCTTTTACTTCTATTTAATCTAATTAACTTTACTCAGCTTTTAAATTTCAGTAGGTTTTTTTTAATTTTAGCAAACTTTACCTCTTCAAAGAGGCTTTCCCTGACCACTCATTCTGAAATAAGCTTCCCCTTTATTCTCTTAGGATCCTATGCATTTCCTTCATAGTCATTATTTGTATAAATTTGTTTTCCTGTTCCTTTGTCCCACCCCATCTCTGACCCAATTTAAGCCCTAGTTGGGAGGAGATTATGACTTGTTTTATAAATCTGTGTGTGGAAATACCTACCTCATTTCTGCTTATATAATAATTTATAATAGATTAATATATGGGAAATGAATTTTATGTGGGAAATGAATTTTTTTTAATCTTCAAGCATTGCCTTAAATTCATGGTGACTTTCCCCATGCTTTTTTTTTTTTGGAGACGGAGTCTCACTCTGTCACCCAGGCTGGAGTGCAGTGGTGTGATCTTGGTTCATTGCAACCTCTGCTGCCTGGGTTCAAGTGATTCTCCTGCCTCAGCCTCCCAAGTAGCTGGGATTACAGGTGTCTGCCACCACGCCTGGCTGATTTTTGTATTTTTAGTAGAGACAGGATTTTACCATCTTGGCCAGGCTGGTCTTGAACTCCTGACCTCATGATCCACCCATCTCAGCCCCCCAAAGTACTGGGATTACAGGCATGAGCCACCGTGCCCGGCCCATACTTGCTTTTAACCAGTTACTACTTAATCTTTTATAATAATTCATTAACTTGTCTGTAGAATATCTTGATAAAATGTGTTCATATTGCATTCAGAATAATACTTTAGTGTAACTAAAGCATAGCTAAATGATAAAAAATTTAAAATTTTAAGATCTGTACAGACAGATCTTAAGTGTACACTTCAGTGACTTGATAAGTGTATTTACTTGCATAACCACTATCCCAATCAAGATATTGAATATTTCCATTCACCCCAAAAAGTTCCTTCTAGTTGGTCCTCTCCCCTTGTAGGTAGCCACTGTTTTGATTTTTGTGACTATTGATTAGTTTTACCTCTTCTTAAAATTCGTTTAAATGGAGTCATATAGTATATACTCTTCTGTATCTGCCTTCTTTTACTCAAGTCATGTTTTTGAGATTTTTTATATGAGAATTAAAATACGTATTGGTTCATATTTTTTCTATTGCTTAGTATTCCATTGTGTGAACAGACATAATTTGTTTTACCATCTTCTATTGATGAACATTTAGGTTGTTTCTGTTTTGCACTATTATGAATAAAACTGCTATAAGCTTTCCTGTACAAACCTTTTTGTATGTGTTGATGTTTTTACTTCCCTTGGGTAAACACCTAGGAATGAAATTACTGAGTTTTAGAGAGATTTATTTTTAACCTTATAAAACTGCCATCAGAAACGTGTTGTGAGAATTTTATTTGTTCTACATCCTCACTGACATTTGGCGTTGTCAATCTTTTTAAGTTTAGCTGTTATAGTAGGTGTGAGGTATCTTTCATTAATTTGCATTTCCCTGTTGACTAATGATGTTGAACATCTTTTTCAGTGCTTATTGGTCATGAATTGTCTGTTCGAGTCTCATATACTTTTTATTGCCTATATTTTTTCTTTTTATTATTAATGTTTAGGAGTTCTTTATATATGCAAGGACAAGTCCTTTGCCAGATAATCATTTTGTAAATATTGTCTCCCAGTCTGTGTTTTCAGTGTTTGGACCTTCTGTAATATATTTATTGTGCTTTTTTCAGATTAACAATTGGACTCACTACTTTAAATTTAGAGGTATTTTACCTAAAACCATATTTAATGATATTATTTGAAAACATAACTGACATACTGTTTAGAAAGAAATTTATCTTTTTGGACATTCTCTACAGTGTTCTAATTTTTGCTTTAAATTGTTGTCTTTTTTTTTTTTTTTTTTTTTTTTTTTTGGTGACGGAGTTTCACTCCTGTTGCCCAGGCTGGAGTGCAATGGCACGATCTTGGCTCACTGCAACCTCTGCCTCCCGGGTCCAAGTGATTCTCCTGCCTCAGCCTCCTGAATAGGTGGGATTACAGGCATCCACCACCACGCCCAGCTTGGTTTTGTATTTTTAGTAGAGACAGGGTTTCACCAGGCTGGTGTCGAACTCCTGACCTCAGGTAATCCACCCACCTTGGCCTCCCAAAGTGCTGGGATTACAAGTGTTAGCCATTGCACCTGGCCTCTTCAGTTTTTCTTGTAGGTCTCAGTTTCATCGGGTATCATTCCTTTCAGCTTGAAGAATTCCCTTTAGCATTTCTTTCTTAGCGCAGGTTTGGTGATGAATTATCTCAATTTTTGTTTACCTGGAAGTACCATTATTTTACTCTTATTAAAAAAAAGAAAACTGGCTGGGAATGGTGGTGCACACCTGTAATCTCAGCATTTTGGGAGGCTGAGGCAGGCAGATCGCTTGAGTTCAGGAGTTTAAGACCAGCTTGGACAACTGGGTTGAAACCCTGTCTCTCTTAAAAAAAACAACAACAACCCCCTCCCCTGCCCCCCAAAAAACACAGCTTTGTTGAGATACAGTATATATACTGTAACATTCACCTGTTTTAAGTGTACAGTCGAATGATTTTTAGTATTTACGGAGCTGTGCAGTCATTGCCACAATCTAGTTTTAGAATCTTGTAGCCTTTTGCAGTCACTTTGTATCTTTCTTCTCCCCATCCCTAGACAGCCACTAATCCGCTTTATGTCTATAGATTTGCCTATTCTGGATGTTTCTTGTAAATGGAATCACACAATATATGGTCTTCTGTCTTTTACTTAGTCAGTTGTTGAGGTTCGTTCATGTAGCATCTATCAGTAGGAACCTCTTTCCTTTTTGTTGCTGAATTTGTATTTCGTTGTATGGATGTGCTATGTTTTATTTATCCATTCGTTGATGTATGTTTGGTTGCTTCCACTCCGTGGCAATTACGAATAATGCTGCTATGAACAAGTTATTGTGAAGATATATTTTCATTTCTCTTGGGTAGTTAGATAGGAGTAGAATTGCTGTCACCTTCTTGTTTTTTTTTTTTTTTTGAGACAAGGTCTCACTGTGTCACCTGTCATAGCTCACTGTAACCTCGAACTTCTGGGCACAAGTGATCCTTGCATCTCAGCCTCCTGAGTAGCTGAGACTACAAGTGCACACCACCATGCTTGGCTATCCTCATTTTTGGAGAATATTTTTGCTGGGTATAGAATTTGGGATTGAGTTTTTTTTTTTTTTTTTTTTCTTCCGAGACAGAGTCTCACTTTTTTGCCCAGGCTGGAGTGCAGTGGTGCGATCTCGGCTCACTGCAACCTCCAGCTCCTGGGTTCAAGTGATTCCTGTGCCTCAGCCTCCTGAGTAGCTGGGTCTACAGGTAAGGGCCACCATGCCCAGCTAATTTTTGTATTTTTATTAGAGATGGGGTTTCTCCATGTTGCCCAGGCTGGTCTTGAACTCCTGGCCTCAAAGCAGTCTGCCCACCTCAGTCTCCAAAGTGTTGGGATTACAGGCATGAGCCACCACACCTGGCCTGATTTTTTTTTGTCTTAAAGCGTTATTAACAGTGTCATTCCTGTGTCTTCTAGTATCCTTTGTTCTGGTTAGAAGTCAGCCATCATTCCTATTGTTCTGTCTCTGTATATGTTGTATTGATTTTTTTCCCCATAAGACTGTTTCAAGAGTTTCTCTGTATCTCTGGTTTTCAGCAGTTTGATTATGATGTTTTCTTTGTATTTATCCTCCTTGGAGTTTGCTGAGCTTTTTGGATTTATAAGTTAATATTTTTCACCAAATTTGAGAAATTTTCATTTATTCTTTTTTTTTTTTGAGATGGAGTTTTGTTCTTGTTTCCCAGGCTGAAATGCAATGAATGGTGTGATCTTGGCTCACTGCAACCTCCGCCTCCCAGGTTCAAGTGATCCTCCTGCCTCAGCCTCCCAAGTAGCTGGGATTACAGGCATGTGCCATCACACCCAGTTTTGTATTTTTAGTAGTGACGGGGTTTCACCATGTTGGCCAGGCTGGTCTCGAACTCCTGACCTCAGGTGATCCACCCGCCTCAGCCTCCCAAAGTGCTGGGATTGCAGGTGTGAGCCACCGTGCCCAGCCCATCTATTATTTTTTTCAAAATTTTTTAATTTCTTATTCTGTCTTTTCTTCTTCTGGGAACTTTAATTACATATATTTTAGACCACTTAGTATTGTTCCTCAGGTCTCTAAATTGGATAATTTCTTTTGATGTTTAAGTTTACTGTCCTTTTCTTCTACTGTATCTAATCTGCGATTAAGTTCATTTAGTTAATTATTTATTTATTTATTTTTTAGATGGAATCTTGCTCTGTTGCCTGACTGGAGTGCAGTGGTGCAATCTCGGCTCACTGCAACCTCCGCCTCCTGGGTTCAGGCAATTCTACTGCCTTAGCCTCCTGAGTAGCTAGGATTACAGGTGCCTGCTACCATGCCCAGCTAAGTTTTTGTATTTTTAGTGGAGACGGGGTTTCACCATGTTGGCCAGGATGGTCTCGATCTCTTGACCTCGTGATCCCCCCGCCTCGGCCTCCCAAAGTGCTGGGATTACATGTGTGAGCCATCCTGCCCGGCCCATTTAATTTTTAAATTCAAACATTGTAATTTGCAGTTCTAGAATTTTCTTTCTTTCTTTTTTTTTTTTTTTTAGGGGAGTCTCGCTCTGTTGCCCAGGCTGGAGTGCAGTGGTGCCATCTCGGCTCACTGCAAGCTCTACCTCCCGGGTTCTCGCCATTCTCCTGCCTCAGCCTCCTGAGTAGCTGGGACTACAGGCGCCTGCCACCATGCCTGGCTAATTTTTTGTATTTTTAGTAGAGACGGGGTTTCACCATGTTAGTCAGGATGGTCTCGATCTCCTGACCTCGTGATCCGCCTGCCTCGGCCTCCCAAAGTGCTGGGATTACAGGCATGAGCCACTGCGCCCAGCCCCTAGAATTTTCATTTGAATCTTTTTACATTTTAATTTATTTTTTAGAGACAGGGTCTTGCTATGTTGCCTGGGCTGGGCTTGAAGTCCTGGCCTCAAGCAATCTTCCTGCCTCGACCTTCTGAGTAGCTGGGATTACAGGTGCAAGCCATCACATTGGCTCCTGATTCTTTTTTTAAAAAATAGTTTCCTTTTCTCTACTAAGATTCTCCATTGGTTCAGTTATTTTGACCATGTTTTCCTGTAAGTCCTTGAATATGATTTTTATAATGGGTGCTTTAAAGTCTTTGTCTGCTAATTTCAATATCTGAGTCATTTTGGGATTTATTTCTATTGACTGTTCTTTTTCCTCCTTAAAAATAGATCACATTTTCCTGGTTCTTTGCATGTCTAGTGATTTTTTTTAGTATATATTGGACGTTGTGAATAATATGAGTCAATTTTGTTATCTTCATCTGAAAAGTATTGCTTTTTATTGTAACAGGCAGTTAAAATATTGGCTGATCACCTTGAAATTGTGGAGACTTGGTTTTATATTTTGTTAGGATATGTCCCCAAGGTGTTTACTGATCCTCCCTGACTTGGTGGAATGAAAATTCCAAAATGTCTCCCTTATTTTAAAGTGTTTGGGGCTCTCTTTGTGACTTACTCCTTTCCGAGATGTCCCCCTTCAATTTCCAGCTGTTATGGTGGTCCTGAACTCCCATCTTCTGGCATCTCAAGCCAAGAAGACTGTGGCTTTTTGCTGCCACTGTGGCCACTTTGTGCCAAGGGGACTCCCTGGGCTGGGAATGGGAGTTTAATGGGGTTCCTAAGGGGAACAGCTGATCCCACTTACTGTGTTTTCTTTCTTTTTTTTTCTTTGAGAGGGAGTCTCACTCTGTTGCCCAGGCTGGAGTGCAGTGGTGTGATCTTGGCTCACCCCAACCTCTGCCTCCTGGGATCAAATGATTCTCCTATTTCGGCCTCCTGAGTAGCTGGGATTACAGGTGCATGCTACCATGACTGGCTGATTTTTTTTCTTTTTTGAGATGGAGTCTTTCTCTTTTGCCCAGGCTGGAGGGCAGTGGCTCACTGCAAGCCCCGCCTCCCGGGTTCATGCCATTCTCCTGCCTCAGCCTCCCGAGTAGCTGGGACTACAGGCGCCTGCCATCATGCCCAGCTAATTTTTTTTTTTTGTATTTTTAGTACAGACGGGGTTTCACCATGTTAGCCAGGATGGTCTCTATCTCCTGACTTCGTGATCCGCCTGCCTTGGCCTCCCAAAGTGCTGGGATTACAGGCGTAAGCCACCGAGCCTAGCCGATTTTTTTTTTTTTTTTTTTTTTTTTTTGAGACAGAGTCTCGCTTTGTCTCCCAGGCTAGAGTGCAGTGGCACAATCTTGGCTTACTGCAACCTTCGCCTCCCGGGTTCAAGCGATTCTCCTGCCTCAGATTTTTGTATTTTTAGTAGAGACGGGATTTCACCATGTTGGCCAGGCTGGTCATGAACTCGTGACCTCAAATGATCCACCCGCCTCGGCCTCCTGAAGTGCTGGGATTATAGGCGTGAGCCACCACGCATCTGGCTGTGTTTTCTTTCTTTCAAGGATGAAGTTTCTTTCAATTTCTGCCTGTTTTTCAGCCCTGTCCAGTGCTTTCAATTTTTTTTTATTTCTTTCTAGAATTTATGGTGGCCTTGAAACATTTCATGTTTACATAATATCTTTGTTTTTAAAAATAGTATGCTACACTCCTATAGTTATTTAGGCATATGATTTTTCTCCTTCTTCCAGTTATGTCTTACTGCGTTACAGATTAATGCCAAAACCCTGTGGCTTAAAACAGTCATTTTATTATGTTTATTAGATTTTATGGGTCAGGAATTTGGAAGGGGCATAGCCAGGATGATGTATCTCTGCTCCATATATCTGGTGCCTTACCTGGGAAGGCTCAAACTTTTGGGATGGTGCTATAGCTGGATAGCAGTTACCTAAAAGTGTCTTTACTCATGTCTGGCAGTTAATACTAGCTGTTAGCTGGGACCTCAACTGTAACTGTGGGTCAGAACACCTATAAATGGTCTCCTTACAGCATGGTAGCCCAAGCATTAGTGTTCCAGAGAACCAGGCAGATGCTCCATTGCCTTCTGTGACCTGATCTTGGAAGTGGCATGGAGAAGTTACATAGCATCACTTCCTCTACTCTACTGGTCAACTAGTCTTTATTGTTGACCCAAATTCAAAGGTAGGACATAAATCTACCTCTCAATGGAAGAAGTGTCAAATATTTTAGATATGTTTAATTTATTTCATTTATTTATTTATTTTTGGACAGAGTCTTGCTCTGTTGCCCAGGCTGGAGTGCAGTGGCATAATCTTGCACTGCAATCTCTGCCTTCCAGGTTCAAGCAATTCTTGTTCCTCAGCCTCCCGAGTAGCTGTGATTACAGGCATGTGCCACCACGCCCAGTTAATTTTTTGTATTTTTAGTAGAGACAAGGTTTCATAATATTGGCCAGGCTGGTCTCGAACTCCTGGCCTCAAGTGATCTGCCCACTTTGGCCTCCCAAAGTGCTGGAATTACAGGCGTGAACCACCTCGGCACCTAGCTCCTAGACATGGTTTAAAACCATAGTGCTCATTTATCAAATAGCAAGCTCCCCCTTGGGTCCTAGCGTAGTCCTATATACATCTCAATTAGGTACTTGTTGAAGTATTGAATTTTTCTTAACTATAGTAGAATAGGACCTAAAGTAAAGTTGTGTGTAAAGCTTTAAGAAAGGAGTAAGGTATTTTACTTTTAGAAAACATTTTCTTAGGTTGATTAGTTTTTGTCTTTCTGTTTGTAGGATACAGCATTTAATGAAAAATTTATGCTTAAGAAGTAAAAATGGCAGGCTTCCTAGATAATTTTCGTTGGCCAGAATGTGAATGTATTGACTGGAGTGAGAGAAGAAATGCTGTGGCATCTGTTGTCGCAGGTATATTGGTAAGTGAGAAAGACTGGTTGGTGACATGTATCCCTTACCTTTTGCCCTGGAAATTAATGCCGGTTCCTTTGAACTGAGAATGGCTTTCCAGAACTATTTATTTCACTGCTGTTTTGTATAGATGATTATCAGAGTTCTAGATACTATTGCCAAGCAGAATATGGTAGGCCCTGGATTCATTTTGACTTTGTAAATGTGTACTTAATATCTTTTCTTCAGTTCCAGTGATAATATAATTATTATAGGCAATAGCATTTTTAACTTACTGATACAACATATATGTAAGTACTTTAAGATCCTTAAAGGCTCAGAATTTGATGTAACCCAAAATTATTGTTGTGACTTATTGAAGGTCAGACAACAGTGACAGTACTCTGCAGATAATAGTAACAACCTTAGGCTCCATTGGAACTGAAGCCCTGCAGCGGCTCTAGGGAAGAAATACCATCTCTGTTTCCCCAGCTGCAACATCAGGGGAGCATCAGAGGAAGAGATTTGTGAAGGAAACTATTGTTTAATTTTCTTTCCATCATTTTTTTAACTTTAATTGAAAATGACAGGCATAAAACAAAAGCAGAGAGAATGGTATAAAGATTCCATCACCTCCTTTATCCCATGTGTCTATCATCCAGCTTAAAAAAAAAAACACCCCAAAATCAGGACCTATCTTGGTTTATAATTCCATCAACCACTCTCTGTCCGCACTTTTTTTTTTTTTTTTTTTTTTAAAGAGACGAGGTCTTGCTATGTTGTACAGCTACTAGAGTACAGTTGCTATTTACAGATGTGGTCGTAGTATACTACAGCTTCAAATTCATGGTCTCAAGCAATCTTCCTGCCTCAGTCTCCCAGGTAGCTGGGACTACAGGTTCATACTACCATTCCTGGCTCCCACAGCATTTTTTGGAAGCAAATTTCTTTATCTGTTTACATTTTAAAAATTCATCTCTTTCAATGTACAGTTCTACACCTAAAGTCCAATAGAAAAACAAAATGAAATGAAGCAGAGCAAGAACTAACGATAATTGTGAAGCAGTCTGCTCACTGCAGTCTCCGCCTCTGACTTCCCAGGTTCAAGCAATTCTTGTGCCTCAGCCTCCCAAGTAGCTAGGATTAGAGGCACATGCCACCATGCCCAGCTAATTTTTGTATTTATATTTGAATGTTTTTGAGACAGAGTCTCGTTCTGTCGTCCAGGCTGGAGTGCAGTGGCGTGATCTCAGCTCATTGCAGCCTCCACCTCCTGGGTTTAAGCGATTCTCCTGCTTCAGCCTCCCAAGTAGCTGGGATTACAGGTGCCTGCCACCATGCCCAGCTAATTTTTGTACTTTTAGTAGAAACGAGATTTCACCATGTTGACCAGACTGGTCTCAAACTCCTGACCTCAGGTGATTTGCGCGTGTTGGCCTCCCAAAGTGCTGGGATTACAGATGTCAGCACTGCGCCCGGCCTTGTATTTTTAGAAGAGATGAGGTTTTACCATGATGACCAGGCTTGAACTCCTGACCTCAAGTAATCCACCTGCCTTGGCCTCCCAAAGTGCTGGGATTACAGGCGTGAGCCTCTGCACCCAGCCCATTTATATGATCTGTAGGACAAAAGGAATGTTAAAAAGCAGGTATTGTGCTAGCAAGAGTTTTAATGTTTCAGTGACTTGGGCTGTGTTTTAAGTTTTTTACAGGCTGGTGGATAATGATTGATGCAGCTGTGGTGTATCCTAAGCCAGAACAGTTGAACCATGCCTTTCACACATGTGGTGTATTTTCCACATTGGCTTTCTTCATGTAAGTATGAAGATAATTCTCTATTCAAGGTGATTTTTCTAAAAATACTTTCCTGTTAATGTGCAGTGCTTTCTTGAATAACTTTTTAATTTATTTGATAGACTATTTTTTAACATGATACATACATAATTCCCATTTTATTACGATTTTTTTTAACCAAGAATGAGTGTTGGATTTGGTCATATATCTTTTTAGCACCTATAACAATTATCTTGTGATTTTTTTTTTTCCTCATATTTTTAAATCTGGTCAGTTACATATTTTGTCAGTTGCAAGATCTACTTTTTCGCATTTTAATACCTCTGAATATCAGGATGCATCTTACAGTCAGTGGTATCTTAGAATTATAATTGATAACATTTTTATTTCTTGTCAGTATTAAAAATTAATGGTGTATCTTAAAACTGATGGCTCTGAGATTTCATGAAACATGTTACGTTTCTGCATTTTTTTAGTAGTAAATCACCCGTAGGTGTTGTAGTACACTCAACTTTTACCTTGCAGTATTATTTTTATTTTTTTTAATGTGCTACTTGACTGTGTTTGCCAGTGTTTGAGGAAAAGGCAAGATTGGCCTCAAAAGAGATTTGTTTGTGGCTTTTGTTTTTATTAAATTATTTTTAAGTTTATGTTACCTCATTTCATAAAAAAGCTTGGAAGCTTTTTATGGATGTCTTTTAACAATTAAAAAATATTAAACATTAAGATTACATCATTTCCTTATACCATCAGGAGGTTTTTTTGTTTTTGAGACAGAGTCTTACTCTGTTGTTTGGGCTGGACCACACTGGTGTGATCTTGGCTCACTGCAACCTCTGCCTCCCGGGTTCAAGTGATTCCCTTGCCTCAGCCTCCCAAGTAGCTGGGATTACAGGTGCCTGCCACTACGCCCAGCTAATTTTTTGTATTTTTAGTAGAGACGGGGTTCCACCATGTTTGCCAGGCTGGTCTTGAACTCCTGACCTCGTGATTTGCCTGCTGTGGACTCTCAAAGTGCTGGGATTACAGGTGTGAGCCACTGCACCTGGCCAGGAGTTTTAAAAAGGTTATATTTTGGAAAATGGAACTACTTATATCCATTGTGGCTTCTAAAAAAAGGAAATTCCTGTTACTAATTAATGTACCTTGCTCTAACAAAAATGGAAGGGGAAGCTGAATAAAGTGGGCATATTATACATAAGCTACATTTTCTCTGAGCTTAAGAAATGGATCATAGAAAATCACTTGACTTTTAACACAAAGAGAAACTGTTTAACTCTTGATAATAATGAGAACCTTGAAGTGGGATAGCACTGAGTCATTCATGTATAAATGTGAAATAGACAAAGAATCCAGAAAACTGGTCCCTCTTGTATAATCTCTGGAGAGAAGTGATAGAAATCTCTTAAAATAAATGTGTTTTCTGGGTGTACTTTATGAAAATAAGACTAATGTAACATTTCTATCAACTAGCATTTTTATTAGGTTAAAAATATGTTAAATTATTCAGATACTGATTTTAGTTATGAAATAATCTGTTTTCCGTCTAAGTGTTATATAAATATTTGAGTATTTTAACAGCGAATACTGAAATTCATTTGATGATTTTGTGCCGTTCTAGGATAAATGCTGTATCCAATGCTCAGGTGAGAGGTGATAGCTATGAAAGCGGCTGTTTAGGAAGAACAGGTAAAGATACTTTGAGCTGTTAATGGGTGTTGACAAAACAGAAATTTGTCACCAGAAAAAAAGCCTCTCTTGTGAGTCTTTATTCAAGACTGGTAATGATTATATAGAATATTTTTTATTTGCTTTAAAACAAAGTTTTAGTGTTATTCAAATCCTTAAGAAAGTAAGTTATTGCTAGAAGTTACTGTTTTTGTCATGTTACACTGCCCATGATATAGATAAAAAATGTTGCTATTCAAATGGATCTTGGACTCCAGTGCTAATGATGGATTTATTATTATCCCAATTGTTGACCAATAATGTTACTTACAAGATGGCTGACTATGATTATTAACAGGAAAGTAATGAACACATTAGGGGATCAAACCTAGGACTACAGTGTCTTTACATTCACTTCTGATCACCTGAGTAGCCACCTACAGACTGCAACAAAATTGTTCAGTAGAAAGATGCTATTTGTCTACACATAAATTAGTTTTTATAGTTTGAATTCATTTGAATTGTTATCCAATTTTTGTTTTTTTTTTTTTTTTTTTTGAGACGGAGTTTAGCTCTTCTTTCCCAGGCTGGAGTGCAGTGGTGGGTTTTTGGCTCACCACAACCTCCACCCCCTGGGTTCAAGCAATTCTCCTGCCTCACCCTCCCGAGAGCTGGGATTTCAGGCATGCGCCACCATGCTTGGCTAATTTTGTAGTTTTAGTAGAGATGGGGTTTCTCCATGTTGATCACGCTGGTCTCGAACTCCCGACCTCAGGTGATCCACCCACCTTGGCCTCCCAAAGTGCTGGGATTACAGGAGTGAGCCACCGAGCCCGGCCCAATTGTGTTTTTTAAACATTTACGGCCGGGCGCAGTGGCTCACGCCTGTAATCCCAGCACTTTGGGAGGCTGAGACGGGTGGAACACCTAAGGTCAGGAGTTCGAGACCAGCCCTGCCAACATGGAGAAACCCCGTCTCTACTAAAAAATATACAAAATTAGCCAGGCGTGGTGACACACTTCTGTAGTCCCAGCTACTTGGGAGGCTGAGGCAAGAGAATCGCTTGAACCCGGGAGGCAGAGGTTGCGGTGAGCCGAGATCACCTCATTGGACTCCAGCCTGGGCAACAAGAGTGAAACTCCGTCTCAAAAAAAAAAAAAAAAATTTACATTATAATATGAAGAAATTAAGGTACAGTGGGCTTACATAATGTGTCCAAAGTCACAGAGCAAGTAAGTGGTGGAGCCAGGATTGAACACGGACAGTCTGGCTCCAGAGCCCATGCTTTTAGCCACTATGCTGTGCTTGTTTCCCATCTAGAACCATTTGGTCACTTTGTCTGGTTTGGTACCACGTGTATATTTTTTCTTTTTGTCAGCTTAATTGAATATAATTTAAGTATAATAAAATTCACTAATGTATTTATTATTTTATTAATTTTTTTTGAGACGGAGTCTCACTCTGCCACCCAGGCTGGAGTGCAGTGGCATGATCTTGGCTCACTGCAGCCTCAACAGCCTGGGCTCGAGTGATCCTCCTGCCTCAGTTTCTCAAGTAGCTGTGATTATAGGCACATGCGGCTGTGCCCAGCTAATTTATTTATTTTTTGTAGAGACAGGGTTTTACCACGTTGTTCAGGCTGGTCTTGATCTCCTGGCCTCAAGCTATCCACCTGGCCTCAAGCTATCAGCCTCCCAAAGTGCTGGGATTGCAGGCATGAGCCACCACGCCTGGCCAGAATCCACCAATTTAAAGTGTACAATTTGATGAGCTTGATCAAATGTGTACAGTTACAGTTGTGTAACTACCACTACAATCATGATACAGAACATTTCCATTGCCCCAAAAAGTTCCCTCATACCCCTTTTTATAGTTAATACTCTTCCCCTCACCTCCTGGCCACTACTGATCTACTTTCTATGATGGTTGCTTTGCCTTTTCTATGATTTCATATAAATGGGATCATATAGTAAGTATCATAGCCTTTTAAACCAAATAAAGCAGCTTTGAAGAGCTTAGCTTTCTTTTCTACTTGATGTTTTATTTTTTAAATTTTGTATTTATTTTGTTTGAGATGGAGTCTCGCTCTGTCACCCAGACTGGAGTACAGTGGTGCGATCTCAGCTCATTGCATCCTCCGCCTCCCAGGCTCAAGCAATTCTTCTGCCTCAGCCTCCTGAGTAGCTGGGATTACAGGTGCCTGCCACCACGCCTGGCTAGTTTTTGTATTTTTGGTAGAAACTGGGTTTCACCATGTTGGCCAGGCTGTTCTCAAACTCCTGACCTCAGGTGATGCACCCGCCTTGGCCTCCCAAAGTGCTGGGATTACAGGCATGAACCACCATGCCCAGCCTTCTACCTGATGCTTTAAATGCTGATGTAGATTTTGTAACCTCACTTCTACTGGAATCCATGGAGAATTTGCGAGAGGGTATAATGACAAATGACAGATGAGCCTAAGTTTAAAGTGCACAATATGTGTGTGTATGCGCATGCGATCGCGCTTACTTTTCATCATATCCTGTATGTCAGCCTCAGCAGTAATGTCAGGAATGAGGGAAGGTAAAGAAAAAATATATATTAGCAAGTGAAGATGTTGTATGTAGAGCATACAATAATGTACTCCATCATTTTTCTTTCAAGAATATTCCACGGACATTGCTGTGAATTATGTTACTATTATCTTTTTTTGAGACGAGGTCTTGCTCTGTCGCCCAGGCTAGAGTGCAGTGGCATGATCATGACGCAGAAAAGCCTTGAACTCCTGGGCTCAAGCAATCCTCCCCTCTCAGCCTCCAGAGTAGCTGGGATTACCGGTGTAAGCCACTGTGCCTGGCCACTATTATCTGTTTTTTATAGGAAGTTTCACTGTAACTTATCCAAAGTTTTTTAGCTTAAAAGTGGAACCTGTATTTGTCTTTGGTCTGTCTGGTTCCCAAGCCTGTCGTTTTTACCCTAAGTGATTATTATATTTTATTCTATGATATTCCCTATTCTATTAAAATTAACAGTACAGTTTATATTTTTATATTGTGCATATAGTGCAATTTCTGTTTAGTGTTTCAAAAATTAAGGACAAACTGTCTTATAGTCATGCCCAGGTATTGCTACTCTTAAGCTTTTGTACTGCTTAAGTGGTTTATCTGTAAACTATCTCTATTTAGTTCCCGGAGGAATTAATAGGAAAGTATCAAAATAATAAATATACTATAAATGAAACAGCTAAATAATAAAACTATAAAAAAGAACAGGAACTAGGTAGAAAAATGATCATTGTACTTAGAACCTGGGACAAGATGGATGCTTTTAATTGTTCATTAACCTTAACTCAGAGCTTCCTTGTAGCCAAAGCAAACAAGAGAAAATGTTACAGTTTTATTTTTTTGCTAAACAAAAGCATACTTCTTTTTCTTTTTTTTCTCTTTTTGTTAATATGCCCTCAGACATACTTACTTTACAAGAGAAATTTTTTTCTTGTTTAATTCTATTAGAAAGTTTAATGTATATAGCCATAAATAAAGGACATGATGGAAAATAATTGTAAGGATTTTTTTTTTTTTGAAACAGTTTTGCTTTGTTGCGCAGGCTAGAGTGTAGTGGCATGATCTTGGCTCACTGCAACCTCTGCCTCTCAGGTTCAAGCAATTCTCTTGCCTCAGCCTCTTGAATAGCTGGGACTACAGGCACCCGCCACCAAGCCCGACTGATTTTTTTTTCTTTTAGTAGAGATAGGGTTTTACCATGTTGCCCAGGCTGGTCTCGAACTCCTGAGCTCAGGCAATTCGCCCACCTTGGCCTCCCAAATTTCTAGGATTACAGGTGTGAGCTACCATGCCCCGCCTTTAAGGATTTTTAATAGTTCCTTTTATTCACGTTAGATAAAAGCTATGATTGAATATAATTTAGAGATTGTATTTCTCCAAAGAACTAAACATTACTGTTTATTTCTGGAGATCTGCTTAGTATTGTAATAAAATTTAGATAATATAGAGACCTATTTCTCTCAGATATCAGCTGTTCTAACCATTATGAACTTTGATCAGTGCTTCTTCCTTATCTGGTGTCTAAAATGAATCTTTTCCCTGGTAACAAAATATTTGCAACTGAGGCAAATTTAGTTTTCTGTTATGGAAATTGGCTAGGATTTTATTTTTACTTCAGTGGAGCTTTCTTCCCCTTCCAGAGGTTGATGGGGCTGTCAGTATACCTGTGAACAGGATCTGGTGCAAGTATTAACCTGCTTTCCTAAAAATATGTTGAATCTACTCAAGTGTCCAGATGATTTACATTATCGAGATCTAGAATTTTGTTCAATACAGGGTTGAAGAGATACTTCTGATCTTGAAGTTTTCATGAATATGTGGTACAGATTGGCTGCCTCAGCAATAAAAAAGCCTGAATATACTCCTAAAGAATGGCCGTTATTTGTACCATATTGAATAATGGTGTGATTATAGAAGCTTACCATTGATTAAAAAGGGACATATTAGTCCTTCTTCATTTGAAGTCTCTCATTCCTATGTGGTGATGGCTATCCAGAATACATGTGCTACTTTTAATAGAGCAATTATTTTGGTAATATATACAACAGTGTAATTTTTTAATTAGGGCATTCGTTTCTCTAGTCAGTAAAAAGGTAACTTTCTTTTTTTCCTTTTCCATGTATGGTTTAACTTCTTTTAGTGTTTTTTTTTTAAATCATCATTCATTTAACTTACAGCAGATTTATATAAATATATGACTATCTTTGATATGCATAATATATACTAGGCTAACAGGGCTCCTAGTATTATGTATTCCTAAGACGTTACAGAGCTGCAAAAATGAACAAAATCATAAAGCCTCTTCTCTACACAGGTGCTCGAGTTTGGCTTTTCATTGGTTTCATGTTGATGTTTGGGTCACTTATTGCTTCCATGTGGATTCTTTTTGGTGCATATGTTACCCAAAGTAAGTATATATTCTTCTTGTATTTTATAGGAGAGATTCAGATATGTCTTTTATATTTGGCTTACTCTACCTTGAGTACAACTTAGTATAATTGTTCACTTAGATTGAAGATACTGCTCTGTGTGAAGATACATGAGTTTAATAAAACTTGTCAGTGGGAACACTTAGTGCAGTAGGATAGCCCTGGTTAGGAAATCCAAGCCACTGACAAAGCTGGTACCTCTCAGCTGTCTCCAGACTTTCTGCTTTCCTTCTTTACCTTAGACAGCCAGGATTTTATGCTAGAGGCCCATTTACTGGGAGTTGCAGTAGAAAAAGTGAGAAACCAGTACAGGTGTACACTCCCTTATATACAATTCTAAAATCCACAAAATGCTGAAAATCAAGTTATTTATAACTAGTCTGGCAGCAAAACCTGACCTAAACTGACATGGAGCTCACTATTTTCTTTATCCCATTTAGTGTAAGTATTCAAATGTTTTATTGTAGGAATGAAAATAGATATATTAGATTATAGGATGTGCTTGTCTATACCCAGCTGGCGGTGCTATGTAGTATATGTGCTTTCCCTTACTGTTCTTAAACCTGAAGAATTCTGAATCCCAAAATATATCTTGCCCCAGGGATTTCAGATAAGGGGTATAGACCCCTTATCTGATAATCTATGGATTGCCAGTAGATAATCTTTCGTTTCATTGACACCTTCTCTCTCCAACCTAATCCTGTAATTTTTTTTTTTTTTTTTGAGACGGAGTCTCACTCTGTCACCCAGGATGGAGTGCAGTGGTGTGATCTCGGCTCACTGCAACCTCCGCCTCACAGGTTCAAGTAATTTGCCTGTCTCAGCCTCCCAAGTAGCTGGGATTACAGGTGCACGCCACCACACCCAGCTAATTTTTGTATTTTTTTAGTAGAGACAGGGTTTCACCATGTTGGCCAGGCTGGTCTCAAACTCCTGACCTCAAGTGATCCACCCATCTTGGTCTCCCAAAGTGCTGGGATTACAGGTGTGAGCCACCATGCCCAGCCAATCCTGTAATTTTTAAGTCATGGGTACAGGGGGAGTTTTTTAAGGGCAAGACTGAACACATATGTATACTCTTCATACAGAAACAGCTGATGGAGTGGGATGAGCTCTTATTACACCATGCTGAAATCTGTGGCTCTGCCAGGTGCCATAGCTTTTCATTCACAGTAGTGATGAAAAATAGAACCCAGTTTCAGAAATGTCTCTGGAAGCGTCGGAAGACTGTTTCACTGGCCCTCTTCCTTTGCTCCTAAGACAGGAGTCAGTTTCAGAGAACGCAATTTATTCATCCTCTGACTCCTCTACCTCTGGAATCTCTTTGTCAGCCTTCTTTGCTTAACTGTCACATCTCCTTGTCCTGACTCACAGCTGGTTTTTGAATACTTTTGATAGTATCATTTAAGTCTCATAGTTTGATCAGTATAAGATCTTTGGAATACTTTTGTTTTTCTTTTGTCTTTCACTTGATACAAAATAAGTCAGATTACAAGAGGACAGTGGTTGGCTTAAATAACATTGGTCACCAACTGTATCTAAAATGTGTTTTTTAGTTAATTAAAAATACTACTAGAGCACATAATTCTGGTATGAAGCATATCTGAAGGAAAATGCTTTTTTAAAGATAGCTTCATTGAGATATAATTTGCATACCATATAATTCAGCCATTTAAAATATGCAGTTCAGTGTTTTTAGTATTTTCACAGAATTATGCTACCATCATCACAATCCAATTTGAGAATATTTTTATCACTGCCATACCCATTAGCAGTCACTCCCCATTACTCCTTCCCCTAGCCCTAGGCAGCCACTAATGTACTTTCTGTCTGTATCTATTTCATACACATGGAATCTTATAGGAAAGTGTTTTTTTGAGACAGAACCTTGCTCTGTCGCCCAGGCTGGAGTGCAGTGGCGTGATCTCGGCTCACTGCAACCTCTGCCTCCCAGGTTCAAGCAATTCTCCTTTCTCAGCCTCCTAAGTAGCTGGGACTGCAGGTGCATGCCACCACGCCCAGATAATTTTTGTATTTTTAGTAGAGATGGGGTTTCACCATATTGGTCAGGCTGGTCTCGAATTCCTGACCTCAGGTGATCCACCCACCTCAGCCTCCCAAAGTGCTGGTATTACAGGCGTGAGCCACTGTGCCCAGCCGGAAAGTGTGTTTTAAACTCATTTTATCCCTGACTGTAAGAAGGGTGGGCTGCTGTCACTGATTTTCTTAAAAGGTCTCCATAGTTATGTTAAAGAAAAACTTTAGATAAATTAGCAATTTGAGCAAACCAAGAAGAGGTTCGGAGAGCTTCACCCAGCAGCATGAGCAGCTGTAGGCTGAACACAAGGCAAAGACAAGAAATTTTTAGATTGTCTGTAGCTATATGTTTGTCTTATTTGTGCATGGTCTCATCAGTTGGCTGCTTGGGATTGGCTAAAGCTTAGCCGTTTGTGATTGACTAAAATTCAGCTATTTATTAAAAAATATAACCCTAGGTTTCAGTTCGTTTACGTAAGTTAGGTTCCGGGGGGTGGGTTGGGGTCACACAGGAACTCAGAGTAGGGAGATAGCCTCAGGTTAATGGCTTCCTGCTTATTTACTTTAGCAGTTGAAGTGATCCATGAGCTTTACAGTTTCTATAGTGAAAATAGGGATAAATTGCCATTTCTGTAAGGTATGTAGGGAAATATTGTTTGTAAAGGCTTTACTATTGTTGAGTGTATTTTTTTTTTTTTTTTTGAGTTGGAGTTTCACTCTTGTCGCCCAGGCTGGAGTGCAATGGCACAGTCTCGGCTCACTGCAACCTCTGCCTCCCGGGTTCAAGCGATTCTCCTGCCTCAGCTTCCCGAATAGCTGGGATTATAGCCGCCTGCCACGACTCCCAGCTAATTTTTTGTATTTTTAGTAGAGACAGGGTTTCACCATGTTGGCCAAGCTGGTCTTGAAGTCCTGATCTCAGACGATCTACCCACCTTGGCCTCCCAAAGTGTTGGGATTACAGGCATGAACCACCGCTCCCAGCCAATTGTATCTTAATATTTAAAGAACTAGTAAATATTGATAAATTTCTTGATTGTGAATTTCATCTTTCTATTTCAACAGCATTACTCATTTAAATATACTTTTCTTTTTTTTTTAAGATGGAGTTTCGCCCTGTCGTCCAGGCTAGAGTGCAGTGGTATAGTCTTGGCCCACGGCAACCTCTGCCTCCTGGGTTCAAGTGATTCTCCTGTCTCAATCTCCCAAGTAGCTGGGATTACAGCCATCCACCACCACACTTGGCTAATTTTGTATTTTTAGTAGAGACAGGGTTTCCCCATGTTGGCCAGGCTGGTCTCAAACTCCTGACCTCAAGTGATCTACCCGCCTCGGCCCCCCAAAGTGCTGGGATTACAAGCGTGAGTCACCACACCCAGCCTAAATATACTTTTCTATTTGTAAAGTGAATATGACTTTATTTCAGAGAGCATTTCTAGGCCATGTTTCAAATCTTTTACTGTACAGATTTGCTTGAACTATTAATATTCATAGTAATAGCTAACTTTTATATATTACTTTATAGGCTAGATACTGTTCTAAGCACTATATAGAGTCACTCATCTAATTCTTACACTCTGGAGTAGGTGCTATTACAATGCCCGTTTTACAGGTGAGGAAATGAAGATATGCTGAGGTTAAATAATTTGCCCAAGGTCATACAGTTAGTCATTGGTATAGATAGGATTCAAACCTGGGTCTGGCTCAAACTTGGAGCTCTTAACCATGCTGCTGTATTGTTTGCTATGATATCAAGAGCTCAGAATTGAACCAGTTTCTTCATCTTCTCCAGTATTTTTTAAATCAACATTTGTAGTTTTACAAAAGTTAATAATCCACAAAAATTTAAGTAGTTTCCATTTTGTTTCTTTTCTTTTCCTATAAAGATAGTAACCATTTCCTCCAGGATAGATTCAGTGAAAGAGAATGATAAATTCTAACTGTGTTATTTATATCTGACATATTTGCATGATAAAACTCCTGGATTGAGAGCCAGGCATTGTGGTGTGTGCCTGTAGTCCCATCCACTTGGGACGCTGAGGCAGGAGGATCACTTGAGCCCAGGAGTTTGGGCTGTAGTTTGCTATGATTGTGCCTGTCAGTAGCTGCTGCACTCCAGTCTGGGCAATATAGTGAGGCCCCATTTCTTTAAAAACAAACACAAAAAACCTCTTGAATTCATGAAAGAAAATAAATTAACAGACTGTTTAAAAGTCAAGAATTTATTTTGTATGTTTTTACGATTTTGCATTTCAGTGTTGGCCATAGGAGGCAAAGGAGCAAGTTACTGCTTCCTCAGCAGTTTTGATGTAGCTAGAACCAGCAATTACTTTGACTAAAAGAAAACTTTGTAAGTTCATTGACTTTTATCCAGAGTAAGAGCAGTCCTTTGCTTTGGGGGAATTAAATTGGCATTTTCTTCTTTCAGTTTCATTATAGATGTCTTACAGTTAATGAATAATAGCAGTATGTTGTAATATACAAAATGTATCATTATGAATGGCACTGATACTTTATTACTGCCGTTTGCCTATATAACCGTCTAATCTGTTTTACTTTGTGTATGTAGATACTGATGTTTATCCGGGACTAGCTGTGTTTTTTCAAAATGCACTTATATTTTTTAGGTAAGTTGCCTTATTTTTTAACCACGCCTGTAACATTTACAGAAATGTCAACTTAATTAAGGCAGCATATATATGGAACACATATAAATCCCATGGATTGGTTACAATGATAGAACTTCTTTTAAAAGGTGAGAATTCCACTGTTACATAAGAGCAGAGAGGCCTTTTAACTAGAGGTCTTGCTGTGTATCAAGACTTTAGCTGGATCCTTTATATATTTTACCCTTTGAATTCACATTTAGGCCAAGTGCTGTGGCTCATGCCTGTAATCCCAGCACTTTGGGAGGCTGAAGTGGGTGGATTGCTTAAGTCTAGGAGTTTAAGACCAGCCTGGGCAACATGGCAAAACCCTGTCTCTATAAAAAAATATAAAAATTATCTGGTTGTGGTGGTGTACAGTGCCAGCTACTCAAGAGGCTGAGGTGGGAGGATTGCTTGAGCCGAGGAGGTTGAGGCTGCAGTGAGGCAAGGCTGCACCACTGTACTCCAGCCTGGGCAATAGAGTGAGACCAAAATAAAATAAAATAATGCATTTAATTATTTTAAATATATGTCAGGTGTTATTCCCATTTTATTTATTTTTATTTTTATTTATTTATTTATTTTTTGCGAGGGAGTCTCACCCTGTAGCCCAAGCTGCCTTAGTGCAGTGGAACAATCTCGGCTCACTGCAGCCTCCGCCTCGGGACTCAGGCGATTCCCATGCCTCAGCCTCCCGAGTAGGTGGGACTACAGGTGCACACCACCACACCCAGCTAATTTTTTGTATTTTAGTAGAGACGAGGTTTCACCATATTGCCCAGAGTGGTCTCGAACTCCTGAGCTCAGACAATTTGCCTGCCTCGGCCTCCCAAAGTGCTGGGATTATAGCCACCACACCCAGTGTTATTCCCATTTTATAGATGAGGAAATAAAGTTTAGGGCTTGCTTTAGGATGCCTAGCTAGTAAATGAGAAGCCTGGATTTGAATCCAGACTGCTGCTTCCATAGCCTGTGTCTTATTAAAAAACCCTATCAGACCCATTGTTTCACTTGACTAGCCTTTCGGGAAAAAAAAAATTAACAACAACAGGTAAAGTACCTTTATGAAGAAAAAAGGAAAAACCAGAATTAATACCTAGTGGCCAGCCAGGTGTGGTGGCTCATGTCTGTAATCCCAGCACTTTGGGAGGCTGAAGTGGGTGGATCATCTGAGGTCAGGGGTTCGAGACCAGCCTGGCCAACATGGTGAAACCCCATCTCTAATAAAAATACAAACATTAGTCGGGCATGGTGGTGTGTGCCTGTAATCCCAGCTACTCGGAAGGCTGAGGCAGGAGAACCACTTGAACCCAGGAGACACGGGGGTTGGAGTGAGTCGAGATAGTGCCACTGCATTTCAGCTTGGGTGACAGAGCAAGACTCCATATCAAAATAATAATAATAATTAATACATAGTATGCATATTATATACAAAACCTGTTGGGAAATTCTGTTTTCTGAATGCCCTTTTAAGAAAAGTTAAAGTAAGTGGAAAAATAAACCAATATTAAAAGTATTTTTTAGGGGCAGTCTTCTAAAATATCCCCAAAATGAAGTCCATTCTATGCTTTTTAGAATGAATGTCTTTTTTTTTTTTTTTTTTGAGCTGGATTCTCGCTCTGTTGCCCAGGCTGATGTGCAGTGGTGCAATCTCAGCTCAATGCAACCTCTGCCTCCCAGGCTCAAGCAATTCCGTGCCTCAGCCTCCCAAGTAGCTGGGATTACAGGCATGCACTGCCACACCCAGCTAATTTTTGTATTTTTAGTAGAGATGGGGTTTTGCCATGTTGACCAGGCCGGTCTCGAACTCCTGACCTCAAGTGATCTGCCCACCTCAGCCTCCCAAAGTGGTAGGATTACAGGTGTGAGCCACCATGCCCAGCCTAGAATGAATGTCTTTTAATGTCAACATAGGATATTTAGGTATATATTTATAAAATTTTATCTGCCTCTGTCCCCATCCCCCATAAATCATTAAGTAACTTCTAAGCCTTGAAAAACTTTGCTTTTGTCACTGGTTTTAAGTAATTTGATTACGATGTACTGTGGTCTAGTTTTCTTGATATTCCTTCTGCTTGGTGTATATTGAGTTTCTTGGATCTATAGGTTTATAGTTCATCAATAAATCTAGATTCTTCTCAGCCATTATTTCTTCAAGCATTTTTTGTATCCACTGCACCCTCCCTCTGGGATTTCAATTACAGGTTATAATAGGCTGCTCGAAGTTGTCTCACAGCTTGCTAATGGTCAGATTTTTTTTTCCTGTTTGTGTTTCAGTTTGGATAGTTTCTATTGTTACATTTTAAAATTAATCTCGGCTGGGCATGGTGGCTCACACCTGTAATCTCAACACTTTGGGAGGCCAAGGCGGGTGGATCACTTGAGGTCAGGAGTTCGAGACCAGCCTGGCCAACATGGTGAAACCTCATCTCTACTAAAAATACAGACATTAGCTGGGCATGGTGGTGCATGCCTGGAATCCCAGCTACTCGGAAGGCTGAGGCCAGAGAATCACTTGAACCCGGGAGGCTGAGGTTGCAGTGAGCTGAGATCACACCATTGCTGAGCAACAGAGCGAGACTTCATCTCAAAATAAATAAATACATAAATAAATAAAATTAATCTCTCTATTGTCACTTTGAAGAATTAAATAAATTAATCTCTACTTCTGCAATGTCTAATCTATGCCATCCAATGATTTTTTCATCTCAGACATTGTATTTTCTCTCTCTAGAAGCTTGATTGGGTCTTTAAAAATATTTCTGATGTCTTCCCTTAACATGCTCATGCCCTCTTCCACCTTGAACACACAGAGTATATTTATAGCTATCTCAGGGTCCTTGTCCAATTGTCTGTGTCATTTCTGCATCTGCTTCTACTGATTTTTTCTGCTTCTGTTTACTCTTCATTTTGGACCTATTTTCCCTTATTTGGTGCTTTGCATACAATTTGTTGGGACTGGATCTTTGCTAGTCCTTTAAATGTTTTTAAGCTTTGTTTTGGGATGCAGTTAGGTGACTCAGAAACAATCAGAAACAATTTGATCCTTTTATGTCTCTTAAGCTTTGTTATAGGCAGGACCAGAGCAGCTGTAGCCCAGGACTGATTTGTCCCCCTACTAAGGCAGTCATACCCTTTGAGTGTTTCCACTCTCTGATGCTTCATGTATTCCGAGGTTTCTCTACTCGACTTGTGAGAGTATGAACTCTCTTCCAGCCTTGTGGTAGCTCTGGGACATGTTCTTTCCAGTGGTTCTTTCCTTCCCTTGGGTAGTTTCCTCTTATGTATAGACTCTTCAGTACTCAGCCACAGACTGAAGGAGCACCCCCTGCAGATCTCCTGCGTTCCCTCTGTGTGGCTGTCTGTACGCTGCATGGCAAACTCTAGCCATGTGGTCTCCCTCCACTCTCAGACCACCATGCTCTACCTGGATTTCGCCTTGTGGCCTTGACACTCCTGGTTTTGAAAGATGTTTGGCAGTTTCTGCTGTCTTATATGTCAAAGACATGTGACTGACAGCCTTCTGGGGATATGGTAAGTTGTTATGAAGACATTTTAGGCAGTCTTTAGAGATTAAGTTCAGATTCAACACTTTGTGGTGGTAGATGAATCCACTTAAATGACAATTGGATGAACAGAAACCTTGTATGCTCAGGTGGACATAGTTGACAGCTGTGTCATCTATGTGCTCTGCCCAGAGGCTGGCAAGTTATCAGGCAGCCTGTATGCTTCCTGTGTGCTGGACCTGTTCTAAGCTCTGGGGTACAACCTCTTTTATTTACATCTCTGGTCACTCCTCTGTTTTCCTTGCAAGCTGATCCTCCACTCCCTGCCTACTACCTTTTGAAGTCTCTTAAAGCTGTTCTTGGCCTTAAGAAACTCCTTGTTATTTTTCTGTCCCTGGGTGAACTCATGTGTACTTAGGACTCCAATTATTGCTTATATGCCAGTGAGTCACAGATGTCCCTTTCCAGGCCTAAACCGTATATCCAGATTCCTACTTCACATCCCTTCTTGGGTTGCTGACATTTCAAATCCAAAACATTTAGTATGCCCACAGCTCAACTCATGGCCCTGGAGTGTCCCATCTCTCTGCTCCCGCCTCCTTATCCTCTCTCACTTTGCCGAGATAATTCCCCCTCTTCTTTTGGATCTCAATTCAGTCACCACTCCTCAGGAAAACCTTTCCTGACCTCTCTAACTAGGTCTGATCCTTATGTTTCACTCTGAGGATACTGTGCACCTCTCATTTATAGCATTTTTTTATAGGTGGAATTTTATATTTATTTGATTGTCTCCTTATTAGACCCTTAGCTCCATTAGGGAGCAAGTTTGTCTGGACTCAGTCTCACCCCAGCACTTAGGTGCTTGGTACGTAGCCACTTTTCAGTGCACAATAATTATTTGTTGAAGGAATGAAGAATTGCAGCATGGTCTGTTGTAGGGTGCTTCAGTTACTGTAATTTAGATATGGTAGGCTCCTGGAGACATAAAATGGCCCTAATGCCTGTCACTATGAGAATGGTCTCTCTCCCTTTTTCTTTTGATTTATTGATTCATTTTTTTGTTTCTGAGTCATAGAGAAATGTCTCTTTTCCTTACAAGTTGCCTGTTAATAACTTCCCAGGCCTTAAGAAAGAATACAGTTATGCTTAGCCATCGTAGTTAACAGACTGCTTTACAAAATAAGCAAATTAAGACCAACACTGCCATGATGTCTAATTTAATTTTTAAAATTGATAGGAATCAGTGAAGTACCTGTCAAAGCATATTGAGAAAATGAATTCTGTGTTGCTTGTTCCATCGGTTTTTTCCTCATGATTTGTTTTCCTATCTTTCTAGCACTCTGATCTACAAATTTGGAAGAACCGAAGAGCTATGGACCTGAGATCACTTCTTAAGTCACATTTTCCTTTTGTTATATTCTGTTTGTAGATAGGTTTTTTATCTCTCAGTACACATTGCCAAATGGAGTAGATTGTACATTAAATGTTTTGTTTCTTTACATTTTTATGTTCTGAGTTTTGAAATAGTTTTATGAAATTTCTTTATTTTTCATTGCATAGACTGTTAATATGTATATAATACAAGACTATATGAATTGGATAATGAGTATCAGTTTTTTATTCCTGAGATTTAGAACTTGATCTACTCCCTGAGCCAGGGTTACATCATCTTGTCATTTTAGAAGTAACCACTCTTGTCTCTCTGGCTGGGCACGGTGGCTCATGCCTGTAATCCCAGCACTTTGGGAGGCCGAGGCGGGCCGATTGCTTGAGGTCAAGTGTTTGAGACCAGCCTGGCCAACATGGCGAAACCCCATCTACTAAAAATACAAAAATTAGCCAGGCATGGTGGTGGGTGCCTGTAATCCCAACTACCTAGGAGGCTGAGGCAGGAGAATCGCTTGAACCCGGGGGGCAGAGGTTGTAGTGAGCTGAGTTTGCGCCACTGCACTCTAGCCTGGGGGAGAAAGTGAAACTCCCTCTCAAAAAAAAGAAGGACCACTCTCAGTATCTGATTTCTGAAGATGTACAAAAAAATATAGCTTCATATATCTAGAATGAGCACTGAGCCATAAAAGGTTTTCAGCAAGTTGTAACTTATTTTGGCCTAAAAATGAGGTTTTTTTGGTAAAGAAAAAATATTTGTTCTTATGTATTGAAGAAGTGTACTTTTATATAATGATTTTTTAAATGCCCAAAGGACTAGTTTGAAAGCTTCTTTTAAAAAGAATTCCTCTAATATGACTTTATGTGAGAAGGGATAATACATGATCAAATAAACTCAGTTTTTTATGGTTACTGTAAAAAGACTGTGTAAGGCAGCTCAGCACCATGCTTCTCGTAAAAGCAGCTTCAAATATCCACTGGGGTTATCTTTTGACAACTTGCCATTATCTGATGTTACACAATTCAATAGCAAGCAAGTTTGAGACAATCGCAGTTTAAAAGCATGAACCATTTAACAAAAAGTGGAATAATTAAAGATAAAGCACTTCTTCCCAAAGGGAATTATCACCTAGTGAAAAATTATGCATTTCATCTACTCAGTTACCGACTGCAAGTCTCTCCTCGCTCTAGCTCTCAAGCTTTGGGTGAATATTCCTGTGAAATATATCTTCAACTTGAAAGTTCATACTCCAATCAAAAACTCCTTTTACTGAGTTTGCAGTACTGTATTTGCACTGTTTGTATTCCTCTGGGCCCTTATTGCTACTTTTGCTTTCCTTTGTTACACAGATTTTGTGTTGCACTTTTTCTCCAGAGGGGTGTTGTAGAGCCTTGGTTGTATGAATAATACCAGTGGTAGTGTCCACGGCTCTAATGTAAGCCCATTTGGCATCACTCCTCTCCTCTCTCTTGAGAGGATTTCTTGTGCACAGAGTATGAAGCAGTTGTGGAGCGCTGTGCCTTTGTCAAGATACCATCTTGTTTGATGACTTCTTTCTTTGCTGTTTTTTCTTCAAAATGTTAGTAAGCTCTGTCATGCTTCTAGCAAATTGTAAGACTAATTATTTGTTTCCACCTCATAACCTGTTGCAATAAATATTACTTCTCATACAGTTTAATATTGTTGTTTGTTGGAGAAAATGAACCATAAAAATTGATTTGCTGTTCAGTTTTCAATTATTCAAGTATACCCAATTAAAGATGCAGTTATGTTTATAAAATAAGAAGAAATAGACTTGTAAAATGCTTATGTGAGGGTTATTGAAGGTTTCCCTGAAGACTGACTGGAAATGGTGGCTGTTTTTTTCTATTTCTGACTCTGCCATGAATTTTTTTTTTTTTTTTTAAAGACAATATCTCACTCTGTTGCCTAGGCTGGAGTGCAGTGGTGCAACCACAGCTCACTGCACCTTCAAATGCTGGAGCTCAGGCAATCCTCTTACCTCCGCTTTCCAAGCAGCTGGGACCACAGGTACGTGTCATTATGTCTGGTTAATTAAAAAAAAATGTTTTGGGAGGCCTAGGTGGGCGGATCACGAGGTCAGGAGATCGAGACCATCCTGGCTAACATGGTGAAACCCTGTCTGTACTAAAAATACAAAAAAATTAGCCGGGCGTGGTGGGGGTCACCTGTAGTCCCAGCTACTTGGGAGGCTGAGGCAAGAGAATGGCGTGAACCTTGGAGGCAGAGCTTGCAGTGAGCCAAAATCGTGCCACTGCACTCCAGTCTGGGCAACAGAGCAAGACTCCATGTCATTAAAAAAAAAAGTTGTTTTTTGTAGAGACGGGGGTCTCACTATGCTGTTCTGGGTGAACTGGTCTCAACACATCCACCTGCCTCAACCTCACAAAGTGCTAGGTTGACAGGCATGAGCCACCACACCCAACCCTGAATTTGTTTTTTAGTTGTGAGCAAATCACTTAATTTTCTGTTTCTTCATTTTAAAAAAAGAGATAATGTGGTCAGGCGTGGGGGCTCACGCCTGTAATCCCAGCACTTTGGGAGGCCGAGGCGGGCAGATCATGAGGTCAGGAGTTCGAGACCAGCCTGGCCAACATACTGAAACCCGGTCTGTACTAAAAATACAACAAATTAGCCAGGCGTGGTGGTGCACCCCTGTAATCCCAGCTACTCGGGAGGCTGAGGCAGGGAGAATTGCTTGAACCCGGGAGGCAGAGGTTGCAGTGAGCCAAGATCGTGCAACTGCACTCCAGCTTGGGTGACAAAGCGAGACTCCGTCTAGAAAATAAAAAATAAATAAAAACATAAAAGAGATAATGTTAGTATCCACTCTTAGAAATATTATGAGTTAGGGCAGAATCTTTGGTAATCATCTACAAATGCATGTGATTCCCTTACTAAGGTTCTCAAGCTGTCACATAGATTCAGTGGTCATTGAATCTGAGTGTTTTTTGTGTGTGGACCAATATTATCAGAGTATTCCATTTTATTGCTCTAAGATCCTTGTATTCCTTGTGCTGTTGCCACTGAGTAAAAACCCAGAGGCTGTATTTTTCCAGTATATATATATATGTGTGTGTGTGTGTGTGTGTGTGTGTGTGTGTGTGTGTATTTCTATACACAAGACGTTGACTTGACATTGATTTGCATCAACATAATGAAATTGGAAGACTGAAAGATTGATGATATCAAACCATATAATTTGGCCCCTTGAGCAAGAGCCCCCAGAGGGTTTGACATGGGTGCATTGAACTCATGATCTCTACATTTTTCCCCAGTGGAAGGGTTTTCAGTCACAACATCAACTCAGGAGTCTTTGTTTTCATTGTTCTTTTTTATGGAGTCCTTTTTACAGTGTCTTACTCTTGCCCAGGCTGGAACGCCGTGGTGTGATTATAGCTCACTACTGCCTTGAACTCCTTGGCTCAAGCAGTCCTCCCCTCAGTCTACTATAGGTGTGCACCACCACACTCAGCTCTCCTTTTTAGATTTAGTTGCACCTTTCCCAAGTTGCTTTTAGAACACTGGTGGCCCTGAAGGTGTACCTGAGAAAAGGTGTGTGTGTCAAAGAAGCTTGGGAAACCCTGGGCTGAACTAGGTCTAAACATGTTTTTTCTTTCTTTATTTCTTGATTTTTTTTTTTTTTTTCAGATGGAGTTTTGCTCTTGTCACCCAGGCTGGAGTGTAGTGGTGCAATCTCAGCTCACTGCAACCTCTGTCTCCCAGGTTCAAATGGTTCTCGTGCCTCAGCCTCCCGAGTAGCTGGGGTTACAGGTGGGTACCATCCTACCCGGCTAATTTTTGTATTTTTAGTAGAGACATGGTTTCACCATATTGGCCAAGCTGGTCTCAAATTCCTGACCCCAGGTGATCCACCCGCCTCGGCCTCCCAAAGTGTTGGGATTACAGGCGTGAGCACTGCGCCCCGCCTTCTTGCTTAGTCTTTTTTAGAGAGGGGTCTTGCTATGTTGCCCAGGCTGGTCTTGAATTCCTGAGCTCAAGTGATCCTCCTGCCTCAGCCTCCTGAGTAGCTGGGACTAGAGGTGCAAATCACCACACTAGGCTCCAAAACACCTTTTTAAAATTCTGTAAAGTTCTTTTCTTTCTTAGAGGTTTTTTTTTTTTTTTTTTTTTTTGTGTGTGTGTGTGTGTGTGTATTGTATGTCTTTAGGAGGAGGGTGTCAATTATATGGTGTTTTCTATTACTGAGACTTGGAAATTTATCTCCTGGAACATGTTGAAAAATGTAATTTGGGGCCAGGCACAGCGGCTCTCGCCTGTACTCCCAGTACTTTGGGAGTCCGAGGCGGGCAGATTACTTGAGGTCAGGAGTTCGAGATCAGCCTGGCCAACATAGTGAAACCCATCTCTACTAAAAATACAAAAAATTAGCCAAGTATGGTGGTACATGCCTGTAATCCCAGCTACTTGGGATGCTGAGGCAGGAGAATTGCTTGAGCCCAGGAGGCAGAGGCTGCAGTGAGCTCAGATCAAGCCACTGTACTCCAGTGTGGGCAACAGAGCAAGACTGTCTCAAAAAAAAATAAAAAATAAAAAATAAAAAAAATAAAAGAAAAATGTAATTTGGGGAAAGTGCTGCTATGGTGGCTTTAGAATAGATAGAACACAGGGAATTAACAAAAGGAGAGGAAAATGTTTAGGTGTGGGCATGGCTGGCTTTGGGAAAAGCCTGTGGCCAGCCTGATTATGGGGAATAAAAATGGTGGCAGGAGGGCACAGTAGGAAGAATTCTTCCAATTGCGTTGTTACTAGACAGTTGTGGTTTGGGCGCTGGGATTCTCGGAGGCCTATGGATTTAAGTTTAGGTTGGTTTACTTCTCCCTTATTCCCTTATTCTGGCACTGCCATTTATTAGCTATTTGACTGCAAGACTGTTTCCCTGTCTGTAAGTATGTTTGAGAATTAATCTGAGGAAATGCTTAACAAAGTTCCTGGAAATAATAAGTGATTCACACAAGTAGGCTTTTTTTTTCCTTTTTTTTTTGAGACAGAGTCTCACTCTGTCATCCAGGCTGGAGTGCAGTGGCTCACTGCAGCCTCAGCCTCCTGGGTTCAAGCCATTCTCGTGCCTTGGCCTCCCAAGTAACTGGGATTGTAGGCACATGCCACCACGCCTGGCTAATTGTTTTTGTATTTTTAGTAGAGATGGGGTTTTGCCATGTTGGCCAGGCTGGTCTCGAACTTCTAACCTCAAGCGATCCGCCAGCCTTGGCCTCCCAAAGTGCAGGGAATTACAGGCGCCGTGCCCGGCATTTCTTATGATGACTTTTGAAGGGATGTTTCCTTTCTCATCTGATGACTTTTTAGCTTTTTGCCACAAGGTGGCATGCCATGCTAAGAAAAACAAGACTTCCAAGTTTAGAGCCTGCCAGAGCATTTTTTTGTAGCACTTTTATCACAGCTTAAGTAATTTTACTTAGGGTTTTGGATAGCAGTAAATGCCTCTTCAATTCTTTCAGCTGTGGCAGATAGGATATTTTAAATTTCTTTGAGTAAGTATGGCAGGACAGGCTGCCTAGACCCTCATGGATTATGCCAGTGTAGAGAGTGCTGGGTCTTTGATTTGGGGAGCATGTTGACCTCTTCCCCACCCCAGAGGTCTAGACATAAAACCAGAGAGCTCTCCAAAAAGGATGTAAATTGTGCTCTTTTCCAGCAGCAGTTTCTGGTTTTTTTTTTTTTTTTTTGAGACTGGGTCTCACTCTGTCACCCTCCACCTCCCAGGCTCAAGCGATCCTCCCACCTCAGCCTTCCAAGTAGCTCAGGTGCATGCCACTACATCCTGGCTAATTGTTAATGTTTTGTAGAGATGGGGTTTCACCATGTTACCCAGGCTGGTCTCGAACTCCTGGGCTCAAAGGATCTGCCTACCTCAGCCTCCTAAAGTGCTGGGATTACAGGTATGAACCACTGCACCCAGCCAGCAGTTTCTTTTGTTTCTTTTTCTTTCTTTTTTTTTTTTTTTTTGTAAAGAGATGGAGTCTCACTATTTTACCCAGGCTGGAGTACAGTGGCTTTCACAGGCATGAACATTGCACACTTCGACCTGGAACTCTTGAGCTCAAGTGACCCTCCAGCCTCAGCCTCCCGAGTAGCTGGGACTATAGTACAGGTCTGTGCTCCAACAGTTTCTACTCCTGGTGCCAAAAACATTATTCAGTGTGATCAGTGTACTTCCCTCCCACCATGGAAGTTGTGAGTTTAGAAATTAACCTTTTTTTTTTTTGAGACAGGGTCTGGCTCTGTCACCCAGGCTGGAGTGCAGTGGTGTGAGCTCGGCTCACTGCAACCTCTGCCTCCTAGGCTCAAGAGATCCTCTCTCCTCAGTCTCCTGAGTAGCTTGGACTACAGACGCACGCCACCATGCCTGGCTAATTGTATTTTTTGTAGAGACACGGTTTCACCATGTTGCCCAGATTGGTCTGGAGCTCCTGAGCTCAAGCGGTCTGCTCACCTCAACTTCCCAAAGTGCTAGGATTACAGGCGTGAGCCACTGCGCCCAGCCTGAGATTAACTTTTTATGTTGAAATTACATCAGACTTACCAGGAGAGTTATAAAAATAGCACAAAGAGGCCAGGCATGGTGCTCACGCCTATATCTCAGTGCTTTGGGAGGCCAAGGTGGGCGGATCACCGGAGGTCAGGAGTTCAAGACCAGCTTGGCCAACATGGTGAAATCCCATCTCTACTAAAAATACAAAAATTAGCCAGGCGTAGTGGCAGGTGCCTATAATCCCAGCTACTTGGGAGGCTGAGGCAGGAGAATCGCTTGAACCCAGGAGGCGGAAGTTGCAGTGAGCCAAGACCCCGCCATTGCACTCCAGCCTGGGCGACAGAGCGAAACTCTGTAAAAAAACAAACAAACAAACAAAAAAAAACCACAAAGAATTCCTGTATAACCTTTCAGATTCCCAGAAGTTAACATTTTACTACATTTGCTTTGGTCTGTTATTTTAAATGTTTGGCAGCATGCTGCAGATGTGACGCCTGTTTACTTACCCTTGAATCCTGTGTATATTTCCCCCCAAACATCACTGCGATACGATGCCAAAGTCAGAAAATTAACATTGATACAGTACTTTGTGCCTTATTCAAATTCTTCAGATTACCCCTGTAATGTACTTTATAGTAAAGAAAAATACTATTTTTCTGTGGCAGGATCCTGCCCATGGTCACACGTTGCATTTAGTCGTCATATCCCTGCAGTGTCTCTAATATTTGGAATGGTTCTTCAGTCTTTGTCTTCTGTGACTAGGCATTTGGAACTTGAGTGGCTTACGTATCAGGACTACTAGCAGTTGCTGTGTGCCTTTGTGTTCTGTTTAGGTCAACAGCACCTGTGGGGTTGTGCGGTGCACAGCCTACAGGAATGTACCCACAGCCCCGACTACTGGTGCTCCACTATTTTAGTAGTTAGCATGGGGCTGGCCACTTGAGAAGTGTCTGGATCTGGAGGACACTTGAAGGTACTCACAGTTGTATTAAGGGTCACAGGAAAATTTCAGAAAGTAAATAGTCAAGAAACACATTAGTTTGATTGATTAATTGAATTTTATGCCAGGCAAAATTTTGTACCTGCCCATCTCCAAGGACCTCAGGGTCCTCCTACCTGGACTTACCAGCTCTTTAAGGGTTTGACCCTCTCTTAGGCTTTTCAGATACAAAAATACTCTTATTACCCACAGAGAATAGATCAGATATTTTTATTCACCTGAATGTAGAAATGAAACGAGTTGAATTAATATTTACAGTTATTATACATTGTTACTCATACCACTATTTAATTTCAAGGAAAATCATTAATATCATATGTTGTGCTTTTTGTTTTGATTTGTTTTGTTTTTTTTTTTGAGACAGAGTCTCTCTCTGTTAGCCCAGGCTGGAGTGCAGTGGCACGATCTTGCTCACTGCAACCTCCGCCTCCCAGGTTCAAGCGATTCTCATGCCTTAACCTACTGAGTAGCTGGAACTACAGGCATGCACCATCATGCCTGGCTAATTTTTGTATTTTTAGTAGAGACGGGGTTTCTCCATGTTGGCCAGGCTGGTGTCGAACTCCTGACCTCAAGTGATCTGCCTGCCTCTGCCTCCCAAAGTGCTGGGATTACAGGCATGAGCCAGCGCGCCTGGCCACATATCATTTGATGTTTATGTTGTAGCTAGGTATATGGATGTAAAGTAACCCTGAGGGTCTGCCTCCCTCCTCTTTTTTTGATAACTGAGGGGCCCAGAGAAGCTAGTGCTGCCTGTATTTCTACAATGGGATGAATTTTTAGGCTATCATTTTTTAGGAATGTCTAGGTGTCATTCCTAGAGCATTGGCAAGTTGCCCTGACCAGAGTCCTCTCCTTAGCAACGGGTGGCTCTGAGGCCCCAGGTCCCAAGTAACCACTCTGACCAGTTTCCATACCCTCTCAAGCGTAGCCAGCTGTTTTCCCTCACCACAGACTGGAAACAAGGAGAAAGACGTCACTTTCACTTCATTCCCGTGGGACAGTCCTTGAGTCTCAAGGGAGGCTGGGAGTGGCAGTGAAGGGTGGGGAGGCATGACTGCATCTCCGGAAGCTGCTGGGGTGGAGTCTCACTTCTCATCAAACAGAAGGACAGCTGGGGATGTTCTCATCTCAAATAGAGACTATTTGGCAAACAGCAAATATATTTTGAAGGGCTCTGGGCGCCTCAGAGATGTGACTGCATAGTGTGGAAGTTGTCAGAATCAAAATGGAGTCACTTGTGCTTCAAACAAACAAGCAAACAAATAAAAAACCCTGACAAATAGAGCTGGGGAAGGCCATGAAGGATTCTCATGCAAAAATGCTTGATAACAAAAATGATCACAAGGCCGGGCGTGGTGGCTCATGCCTGTAATCCCAGCATTTTAGAAGGTTGAGGCAGGTGGATCACTTGAGGTCAGGAGTTCAAGACCAGCCTGGGCAACATGGCAAAATCCCATCTCTACTAAAAATACAAAAAATTAGCCAGGCATGGTGGCGGATGCCTGTAGTCCCAGCTACTAAGGAGGCTGAGACAGGAGAATTTCTTGAATCCAGGAGGCAGACGTTGCAGTGAGCTGTGATTGCATCACTGCCCTCCAGCTTGGGTGACAGAGCAAGACTCTGTCTCTAAATAAATAAATAAATAAAAATGATCACAAAAGACTGCAAAAATCTCAACCTTGCACAAAGCCCTTCACCGCCTTACACAACAAACACTTCTATGAGGACATCTGCCCAACAACTGCCTGTCTAACCTTGGAATGGCATCCCCCTTGCTATTGATCCTTATAGCCAAGGATAATTATCTTAAAACAGTGATCTAATCCTCATTTTTTCCTTTAAGAACCTTTGTTTTCCTTCACCTTCCTAAATATGTACATAGTTTACTCTGGCACACGTGTTCCCCTTGTAATACCCTATTCCCAAATCAGTATCATTTCCTTTCAGAGAGCCTCTCTCTGTTGTGGCACTTCAAAGACATAGTGGCCATAGTGACTATGCAGGCTTCTTTAAATGTTATGTACCAAGAAGTCCTTTTTTTTTTTGAGACAGATTCTTGCTCTGTTGCCCAGGTTGAGGTGCAGTGGTGTCATCTGGGCTCACTGCAACTTCCACCTTGTGGGTTCAACCGATTCTCCTGCCTCAGCCTCCTGAATAGCTGTGATTACAGGCACCTGCCACTGCGCTGGGCTGATTTTTGTATTTTTAGTAGAGACAGGGTGTCACCTTGTTGGCCAGACTGATCTTGAACTCCTGACCTCAGGCGATCCGCTCACCTGAGCCTCCCAAAATGCTGGGATTACAGGTGTGAGCCGCCGTGCCCTGCCAGAAGTCCATTTTATGTGATTTAAACACTATGGACAGAGACGTTATTTTATTTTATTATTATTTTTTGAGACAGAGTCTTGCTCTGTCGCCCAGGTGGAGTGCAGTGGTGCAATCTTGGCTCACTGCAACCTCTGCCTCCCAGGTTCAAGTGATTCTCCTGCCTCAGCCTCCTGAGTAGCTGGGATTACAGGCACACATCACCACGCCCAGCTAATCTTTGTATTTTTAGTAGGGACGGGGTTTCACCATGTTGGTCAGGCTGGTCTCAAACTCCTGACCTCATGATCCCTCCTGCCTCAGCCTCCCAAAGTTCTGGGATTACAAGCGTGAGCCCCCGCACCCGGCCTATTTTATTATTATTTTTGAGACAGAGTCTCGCTCTGTCACCAGGCATGCAGTGGCACGATCTCTGCTCACTGCAACCTCTGCATCCCAGGTTCAAGCAATTCCCTTCGCTCAGCCTCCTGAGTAGCTGGGATTACAGGCATGCACCACCATGCCCAGCTAATTTTTGTATTTTTAGTAGAGACGGTGTTTCACCATGTTGGTCAGGCTGGTCTCAAACTCCTGGCCTCAAATGATCCGCCCACCTCAGCCTCCCAAAGTGCTGGGATTACAGGTGTGAACCACTACACGCAGCTTACCTTCTGGGTTCTAATAAATATTTATGAACAGTGAAATTTGAATATCATAGAATTTTCATGTGTGATGAAATATTCTTCTTTTGACTTTAACTATTCCAAGATGTAAAAGCTATTCTTAGCACACGGGTTTTACAAAAACAGGGAATGGGCTGATTTGGCAAGTAGGTTATGGATTATGCCCTGTCAACGGATTATTTATAAGAGTGCTTCCAACTCAAAAATTTTGACAATGTACTTAGCTTGACTTTATTTTTCTTGAGACAGAGTCTTGCTCTGTTGCCCAGGCTGGAGTGCAGAGGTGCCATGTCAGCTCACTGCAACCTCCGCTTCTCGGGCTCAAGTGATTCTCCTGCCTCAGCTTCCCAAGTAGCTGGGATTACAGGTGTGAGCCACCACGCCCAGCTAATTTTTGTATTTTTAATAGAAACAGGTTTTCGCCATGTTGACCAGGCTTGTCTCAAACTCCTGACCTCATGATCCACCCACCTCAGGGTCTCAAAGTGCTCGGATTACAGGTGTGAGCCACTGCGCCTGGCCTTGACAGTGTAAATACTAATCCCATCAATTAGTCATTTATTTTACTAAGGAGAATGAGGCATTTCATTTCAGAAAATACTATTTAAGGCTGGGCACAGTGGCTCACACCTGTAATCCCAGCACTTTGGGAGGCTGAGGTGAGCGGATCACCTGAGGTCAGGAGTTTGAGACCAGCCTGACCAACATAGTGAAACCCCATCTCTACTAAAAATACAAAAATTAGCTGGGTGTGGTGGCGCACATCTGTAATCCCAGCTACTCTGGAGGCTGAGGCACAAAAATCGCTTGAACCCGGAAGGCAGAGGTTGCAGTGAAGTGAGATTGTGCCACTGCGCTCCAGCCTGGGCAACAGGGTGAGACTGTGTCTCTAAATAAATAAATGGGGTGGCACAGATGCACTTACCCTAACAGAGTTGATTTGCCCTCTGTCCTGCTGGGCTGAAACTCTTTCCTGTTCTCCTGCTATAGATGTATCCTCCACTCCTCGCTGGCCACCATCCTGCTGCCCAACAGAAGAAGCTCTTCTGTCTCCGATTTCCTGAACGGTCTAAGGTAAGTCTTTACAACTCCTATCTACAACTTCTTCCTCCAAACTTGTCTACTTAAGGTGCACCTAATGCATACAACAGATGCTTCACAGGGAGACTTGTGTGCATGGGGTGGGAGTGGGCCTTGTTTTTCTAACTCTTGCCACTGCAGACAGCATGGTACACAACACTTAAGAGAGTTAGCCACTTTTGCCGGACACGGTGGCTCACGCCTGTGATCTCAACCCTTTGGGAGACCAAGGTGGGTGGATCATGAGGTCAGGAGTTCGAGACCAGCCTGGCCAACATGGTGAAACCCCATCTCTACTAAAAATACAAAAATTAGCCAGGCATAGTGGTGCACGCCTGTAATCCCAGCTATTCGGGAGGCTGAGGCAGGAGAATTGCTTGAACCTGGGAGGTGGAGGTTGCAGCGAGCTGAGATCGCGCCACTGCGCTCCAGCCTGGGCGACAGAGTGAGACTCTGTCTCAAAAGAAAAAAAAAAAGCCACTTTCTTACCAGCAGTACAGGGCCCCAACTGCCTCCCATGTAGCTGGGATTATAGGTGCCTGCCACCACACTCAGCTAATTTTTGTGCTTTTAGTGGAGACAGGCTTTCACCATGTTGGCCAGGCTGGTCTCGAACTCCTGACCTCAGGTGATCTGCCTGCCTCGGCCTCCCAAAGTGCTGGGATTACAGGTGTGAGCCACCGTGCCCAGCCTATAAATGGATTTTAAATACATATCCTTTGAACAACAGAGCCCGACAGTACTGACACAATCAGATGACTTGCGTGCTCAGTAGATAACATTACTATTGATTAATCAGTTAATTCTCTTTATTGCCCACAAATCCCTGCCTTGGTCAACACAGTGTGACTTGTCACATATAAATGAAGTGCTAATGTGCCTTCTGCAAATCCCCCTTATAACTTTTATATTTTTGAGACAGGGTCTCTTGCTCTGTTGCCAAGGCTGGAATGTAGTGGTGTAATCATTGCTCACTGCAGCCTTGAACTCCTAACTCCTAGGCTCAAATGATCCTCTGGTCTCAGCCTCCTGAGTAGCTGGGACTACGGGTGTGCACCACCACGACTAGCTAATTTTTTATTTTTTGTGAAAACAAGGTCTCACTATGTTGCCCAGGCTGTTCTCAAACTCCTGGCCTCAAGCGATCCTCCCATCTTGACCTCCCAAAGTGCTGGGATTACAGGCATGAGCCACCATGCCCAGCCCTCTTTTTTTTTTTTTTTTTGAGATAGGGTCTCGCTCTGCCTCCCACGCTGGAGTGCAGTGGCATCATTTCGGCTCATGGTAACCTCCGCCTCCCAGGCTAAAGCATCCTCCCACTTTAGCCTCTCAAGTAGCTGGGACTACAGGTGCATGTCATCATGCCTGGATAATTTTTGCATTTTTCATAGAGACAGGGTTTCACCATGTTGCCCAGGTGGGTCTAGAACTCCTGGCCTCAAGTGATCCACCCACCTCAGCCTCCCAAAGTGCTGGGATTATAGGCGTGGGCCACTGCACTAGGCCCTGGCCTTCTTTATAACCTTTGGAGGATCAAGTGACATCCATAGGAAGTGTTTGCTGAGTTCCCATGAGGCCTCAGTAGCTCTAGCAGGTGTTATTTAAGAAAAAACAAGTTTAGATTGAGTAATTTTAGAAAGCTGAAACTCTGCAGAAAATAGGCTACAATAAAGAAAACACTTCACATAGACTTTAAAAAACATGCACTATACAATCTTTTATTTCCAGTTTAAAAACAAAATCTTAAATTACTAGGAGTATATTTACAAGATTAATTACATTTTAAGCCAGCACACCATGGATGTACATGAAGGGCCACTCGGTGTCCCTCGCTGGGACAGGTTGTGTGACCTGCCCAAGGGGCTCCGGCTCATTTGCCAAAGTCAAGACGACGACCAGGTCTTCTGACTGCTCAGCCCAACCAATAATGAAAAAAGTATCAGAGATGTGTCATATCCATTTTGCTAACAAGCAATTACATGCCTTTTTAGTGTTTAAGAGAAGCCTTAATTTTCCTGGGATATCTCCGTAAAATCATTCTGGAATTTGATTTTGAAAATTCTTTAAGAAAAAAAAAAAAAGCTTGTCACCCCCATGAGACCTGCTGTCTCTCATGTCTGCAGGGACAGGCCTTTTAGAGGCAGCAAAAGGGAATACTGGTCTCTGGAAAGTCCAGACAGAACTCTAGCAGCTCCGATGGCTTGATCTCTTCCAGGGAGCCAGTGGGCTAGGCCCATGCTTTGGTTCAAAGCGTTTGGAGAACATCTTCTTGCTCCTTTTCCGGAAACGAGATAATGGACACAGAGTCCCAGACGTCATCCTTTGGTGAGCTGTCCTTGTCCAAGGCCTCTAAGATGGGCTGAGTTGGGTCTTTTAAATACTTGAGGAGGTTGGAAAGCAAAATTGTAATTAGTTTACCAGTTCAGTATACCAGACCTTTTAACTTTAGTTTTTGTTTTTATTTTATTTTTATTTTTATTTTTTTTTTGAGATGGAGTCTTACTCTTGCCTAGGCTGGAGTATAGTGGTGTGATCTCAGCTCACTGCAACCTCTGCTTCCCAGGTTCAAGCGATTCTCCTGCCTCAATCCTCCAAGTAGCTGGGACTACAGGTGCCCACCACCTTGCCTGGCTAATTTTGTATTTTTAGTAGAGACAGGGTTTCACTATGTTGGCCACGCTGGTCTCAAACTCCTGATCGCAAATGATCCACCCACCTTGGCCTCCCAAAGTGCTGGGATTATAGGCGTGAGCCACTACGCCTGGCCTACTTTAGTTTTAATTGGTATAGTTATTTTATTCAGATATAAGTTGATTCTGTCCACCAATGACATAACTTATTTTTCTTTTTATTCAACAATGAAACAATTTTTTTTTTTTGAGACGGAGTTTCACGTTGTTGCCCAGGCTGGAGTGCAATGACACGATCTCATCTCACTGCAACCTCTGCCTCAGCCTCCCAAGTAGCTGGGATTACAGGCATGCACCACCACACCCTGCTAATTTTGTATTTTAAGTAGAGACGGGGTTTCCCATGTTGGTCAGGCTGTCTCGAACTCCTGACCTCAGGTGATCCGCCCGCCTCGGCCTCCCAAAGTGCTGGGATTGCAGGTGTGAGCCACTGCACCCGGCAACAATTTTTTATTGTTGTTGAGTCAGTCTCTTTTTCGCCCAGGCTGGAGTGCAGTGGCGCGATCTCGGCTCACTGCAACTTCCGCCTCCTGGGTTCAAGCAATTCTCCTGCCTCAGCTTCCCAACCAAGTAGCTAGGATTGCAGGCGTGCACCACCACGGCTGGCTAATTTTTTTTTTTTTTTTTTTTTTTTTGAGACGGAGTCTTGCTCTGTTGCCAGGCTGGAGTGCAGTGGCGTGGATCTCAGCTCACTGCAGCCTCCGCCTCCTGGGTTCAAGTGATTCTCCTGCCTCAGCCTCCCAAGTAGCTGGGACTACAGGCGCATGCCACCATGCCTGGGTAATTTTTGTATTTTTAGTAGAGACAGGGTTTCACCCTGTTGGCCAGGATGGTCTCGATCTCCTGACTTCATGATCCACCCACCTCGGCCTCTCAAAGTGCTGGGATTACAGGCATGAGCCACCTCACCCAGCCAACAACTTCTAATAGTTGAATACTCCTTACCCCTCATCTCAGTAATCACTTTAATACTCATCCCAGGGCTGACCATGTTAATATGCTGAGAGTTTAAAAGGGCAAAACTCAGGAAAAGCAAGTTTTGTTTTTTTCTTCTGATTTTCTGATTGGAAGAAAAGCAAGTTCTTCCTTGCAACCCTCAGTGTAGGCCTGTGGGTTATTAATCTTAAGACGTCTCTAAAATTGTAACCTTTCAGTGAAGGAGGGACTGGGGGCTCTTGTTCAGCTGTGATGGGGAAAAAGAGGGCAAGTTCACAAGCATTGGTCTCAGGCACTCCTCCACCCCTCCCCTTGCACCAGCGCACAGCAAGCAGAGAATCTGGGAGCGAGGGCCTTAGGCCTTAACATATAAAGGGGTGTTTCCCAGCGATTAATTTCCCTTTTGCTCCCGCAGGCTTTAGGCTTAGCCATAGATTCACCAAGTTACCAAGAATCTAGTGTCTAGCTCTTGGAAATGCTGAAAGATACTGGAAGACAATAAGCTTGTAGCTGACTGACTGAAAGAGGAACAAAACCAAAACATGTACCCTTGTGAAACCCCAGAATTATAAGTGAAACATGATTCACTGTTCCCATGTAACTCAGAGACCTTTGGCGGATGTTCTTTATGCTTTCCTAGAAAAGTGAACTGACAGGCCTGTGTTTTCTGTTCATGTCTCAGAGGAATGACTCATAGTATATTCATGTACTGGGGCTCAGCTGGTAGTTCTACCAGGAGAGAGAGAGATTATTACTGCAAGTAAGATTCTGAGACCTGTTAGGAGCTGTGATTTTGTGACAATATTAACCAGGGAGGTTCTAGTAGGGAATCTGTATACTGCCTGTGTACCTACAATACATCATGGCAGATGAAGGAACAAGTGACTAGGGTTCTTTCTGAAAGTGCTGCTATGTTTCTGCAGACTTGGACCTTATCTAACCTCTGTTCATCCCACATGTAACTGAGTAACATTCTGCTTCCAACACCTTTACTCTAGGTTTACCCAAGAATAATGTGAAGCCTCCAGAAGCAAATGCTTTTTATTTATTTTATTTTTTTGAGATGGAGTCTTGCTCTGCCACCCAAGCTAAAGTGCTATGGTGCGATATTGGCTTACTGTAACTTCCACCTCCTGGGTTCAAGCAATTCTCCTGCCTCAGCCTCTCATGTAGCTGGGATTACAGGCGCCCACCACCACGCCCGGCTAATTTTTGTATTTTTGGTAGAGACAGGGTTTCACCATGTTGGCCAGGCTGGTCTCGAACTCCTGACCTCAGGTGATCTGCCCACCCTGGCCTCCCCAAGTCCTGGGATTACAGGTGTGGGTCACTGCGCCCGGCTGCAAATGCTTTTTAAATGTTCTTCTCTCAGCTCGCCTCTGATCCCCAAAATGTCCTGACCGTGTCCTCAGAAGGCCCAATGGCCTCACAGAGCCTCAGGGGGCTGGGGTTATGCAGGAAAATAAGACTTTCCACAAGACCCACGCTACTGTTCTTTCTCAAGTCCTTTCAAATATTAGCAATACCCACTGGGCAATGGGTACACGGGGCCTGGCACTCACAGCTCTGGGTGTTGACTCTGCCTTAGGGCCCTCCTAAGCACCCTGTGGGCCCCAAAGCTCAAGCTCCTGATCACTGTCTCCACCGCCTTCACGTCCTCCAGCCAGGCCACTTCCCTGGAGCATTCTCCAGACAGCAGAGGAGACCTGCTGCCTCGGAGAGGGGTCTACTGCAGCCAATCTCCAGGCCAGGCCACCTTTTTAGCCAACCCCATGCCATTAAAAAAAAAAAATTAAATTGTGGTAAAATACACATAACATAAAATGTACCATCATAACTCTTTTTAGGTGTACAGTTCGGTAGTGCCAAGCACATTCACATTGTGCAATCATGACCACCATCCATCTCCAGAACTCTGTACAGCCCCAGAACTGAAACTCTGGCCCCATTCAACACGAACTTCCCACTTCCCTCCCTCCACCACCGCAACCACCATTCTACTTCCTGTCTTTATGGATTTGATGACTCTGGGGACCTCATTTAAGTGGAAGCAGACAGTATCCTTTTGTGACTGCCCTACTCTACTCAGCATAATGTCCTCAAGGTCCATGTGTGTGGTAGGATGTGTCACAATCCCCTTCCTTTCTAAGGCTGAATGATATTCCATTGTATGGAAAGACCATCTATTAAAGATTTATCTATTAATCCTTCAACGACACCGGAGTGCTTCCACCTTTTGGCTGTTGTGAATCGTGTCAACATGAACATGGGTGTACAAACAACCCCATACCATTTGTAACCCAAATCTCTGTGTCCACGGCTTTGCCCACAGCTGCACTCTTAGGGGTTGCCAGGGGCAGTGGGGCCCTGATGTGTCACCATTAAGATGTCTGCGTGGCCGGGCGCAGTGGCTCCCGCCTGTAATCCCAGCACTTTGGGAGGCTGAGGTGGGTGGATCACTTGAGGTCAGGAGTTTGAGACCAGTCTGGCCAACATAGCAAAACCCTGTTTCTACCAAAAATACAAAAATTAGCAGGCCATGGTGGTGAGCACTTGTAATACCAGCTACTCAGGAGGCTGAGGCAGGAGAATCGCTTGAACCTGGGAGATGGAGGCTGCAGTGAGCAGAGATTGTACCATGACACTCCCGCCTGGGCAACAGAGCAAGACCCTGTCTCAAAAAAAAAAAAAGAGATGTGTGCACACGTACCTCTTCTATCTGTAATGGGATGCTTGGTGGAGTGTGAAACCAGTATTTAATCAGGCCTCTATATTTCAGGACCAGGAAGAAACAGGCTCCTGCCAGCACCGACAGCAACGAAAATGTTCCCACGGAGATCAGGATGACTTGCTGAAGCTCAGTGGAGGCTAAAAAGAGGACACGAAAGTGAACAGAATGATCTTCCTACGCACAACACAAACATCAGTTAATGTTCCATCCATGCTGCTTAAAGAGCATTCCTGTCCTAGTAAAATGGGCAAGTCCCTCTACCCCCCACCCTCACCTGGTATGCTTACATTAATAGCTAAAGTCAATCCTGTAATGAAATAAAGCAAGTGGTAGCTGTCTGGTAGCCTCCACTACTGCAAATCTCAGCACAAGCTCATTATTCCTGCAGTTCAGCACTCTTCTCACTGGGTCTCCCCACTCCCACCACCCATGACCTCATAAGCATTCCCCGATTTCACTATTGGAGGAGTATTCTTTTCCCAGTTCAGAAAGGACATAAGAAGGTATATTTTACCATCTGCCATTGTTTCGTAGCAAGATATGTTGCTTAAATGCCCGACTCTAAAGATGTTACTTTTGTTCCAAAGCAGTTGTGCCTGGACTTGTAAACAGTACACTCTGGAGGGTTTTAAGTTATCCAATGAAATGGAGTTGCTTCTGAAAGGGCCTTTGACCTGTTTTAAAAACATCACAAGCACACATGTAAATGAACATGGCCAAGCTGCCTACATCTTTTCTGATGTTTCCTCAAATTCACTGTGAACACGACAACCAAAGAAGAACAAGATGCCATTTTTAGTGGGTCACTGGCTGGCAGTGGACACATTTTATGTGTGAAAATTGGTGTGTTGTGTGGCCAAAGAGGCTGATAGCTTTAGAACTGTGTTTCTGGCTGTGAGGTCTCAGAGTGCCCATTGTAGTAACTAGACTTCAGTAAATCCCAATTTCTAGGATAATCTTTTTCTCCTTTAACATTTTGGGCTGGATGGGGTGGCTCACGCCTATAATCCCACCACTTTGGGAGGCCAGGGTGGGTGGATCACCTGAGGTCAGGAGTTAAGAGACCAGCCTGGCCAACATTGCAAAACCCAGTCTCTACTAAAAGTACAAAAATTAGCTGGATGTGGTGGCACACACCTGTAATCCCAGCTACATGGGAGGCTGAGGGAGGAGAATCACTTGGACCAGGAGGCAGAGGGTGCAGTGAGCTGAGATTGCGCCAGCCTGGATGAAGAGCAAGACTCCATCTCAAAACAAACATTTTGTATTTCTTTTTTTTTTTGAGATGGAGTTTCGCTCTGTCACCAGGCTGGACCGCAATGGTGCGACCTCGGCTCACTGCAACCTCCGCCTCCCAGGTTCAAGCAATTCTCCTGCCTCCAACTCCTGAGTAGTTGGGATTATAGACACCCACCATCATGTCTGGCTCATTTTTGTATTTTTAGTAGAAACAGGGTTTCACCATGTTGCCCAGGCTGGTCTCGAGCTCCTGATCTCAGGTGATCCACCTGCCTCGGCCTCCCAAAGTGCTGGGATTATAGGCGTGAGCCACCGCGCCTGGCCAACATTTTGTATCTCACGGTTAATCTAGATACCTCAAGTTAGTCAACAGAGAAAAAATTATTCTGGGAAATAATGTTCCTTTCATTCCCAACCTGCTTCTAGTTTGACCGAAATGTGCTTGAGCCTCCTATAGTTTCAGCTAAAATGACCTTAAGGATTTATGTCATCAGGAGACAACTGGACCCTAGACTCTAGGAAGGTTCTGTGTCTCCTCTGCGCATCCCTCTGCTGCCTTGAGCAGGCCTTGCTGCCTCCCCACCTGGTCTTCCAGGCAATGGCTCCTGTTGTCCTGGCAAGGCTGTCATTGTCCCATACCAAAGTGGAAAACAGCGATACCCTATTATGGCAGTATAGGGTTTCTTGCAAAGAACTGTTTTCTAATTTTGAGATACAATATAATCCACTACAGCCACATGAAATGGTGGTATAACATATGCTTGAAAACATGGGAAGACAAGGCTGCTAAATTGTTAACTGAAAAAAGGCAGATTATTCAAATACAGAACATGTTGTTATTTTTTAAAATACAAAAATAGGCCAGGCATGGTGGCTCATGCCTGTAATTCCAGCACTTTGGGAGGCTGAGGTGGGAGGATCACTTGAGTCCAGGAGTTTGAGCTTGGGTAACATAGTGAGACCCCCTCCCTCCGTCTCTACAGAAAATAATAATAAAAAAATAAGCTGGTCATGGTGGTGCATGCCTATAAGTCCCAGCTACTCGGAAGGCCAAAGTGGGAGGATGGCTTGAGCCTGTGAATTGGAGGCTACAGTGAGCTATGACTGCACCACTGCACTCCAGCCTGGGTGACAGAGTGAAATTGTCTCTGAAAAATTAAAATTAAAAAATAAAAATATAAAAGTAATTGTATGATCTATGAATAATAGTATTACTTGATGGTTTTACATTTTCTTTTCTTCTGTTTAATGGTGTTGGACTGCCAGGGCAGAGGAAGACACGATTTTAAGGACAAAAATTCCCTTTGGGTTTATTTCAGCATTCAATTGGAATTCCTAAAATTTAGAGTCACAGACTGCAGAAGAGCTAACGTAACAGGCCTAACACTAATGCCCTTTGAAGGGCCTGATTTCCAGGTCAACCCTTAGCTGACATCTGGGAATTTGTGTGCGTTTTTTGTTTGTTTGTTTTTTGAGACGGAGTCTTGCTCCGTTGCCCAGGCTGGAGTGCAGTAGTGTGATCTCGACTCACTGCAACCTCTGCCTCCCAGGTTCAAGCAATTCTCCTGCCTCAGCCTCCTGAGTAACTGGGATCACAGGTGCCCACCACCACGCCTGGCTAATTTTTGTATTTTTAGTAGAGATGGGTTTTCACCATGCTAGCCAGGCCTGTCTCGAACCCCTGACCTCAAGTGATCTGCCTGCCTCGGCCTCCCAAAGTGCTGGGATTACAGGCGTAAGCCACCGCGCCCAGCCTGGGAATTTGGATTTCAAGTTTATCCCTCCCATTCCCAAACTGGTAAGGTGGCTTACCGTCCCTACACTGTTTGCACAATGTGTTTTCTTTATGAGGAACATCTGTTTTCCTTCTGGGAGTCGGAATTTTGGCATACGCTACACAGAGGGTGCGTATGTGGCCAGCCCCCAGAAAAAGCCCTGGGCGCTGGGTCTCTCATAAGCCTCCCTGGCAGACAACAGTTCACATGTGCAGTCACAGCTTGCTGGTGGAGCAATGAAGTGTATCCTGCGTGACTCAGCTCAGGAAGGGCTCCTGGAAGCCTACCCCTGGACACCTGCGGACTTTCCTCCATGTGCCTCTTCCCTTTGCCGATTTTGCTTTGCATCCTTTTGCTATAAAAAATCAGAGTATGGGCCAGGCACAGATGTGGAGGCTGAGACAGGAAAATCTCTTGAACCCGTGAGCCGAGATTGTGGCACTGCACTCTACCCTGGGAGACAGAGTGAAATTCTGTCTCAAAACGAAATCAGAGTGTGACTCTGTGCTGAGTCCTGGGAGTCCTTTGAGCGATCTAGGGTGGGTCTTGGGGACCCTAACACACAGACTCACAGCTGGAACAAAGATCACATTGGTGGCTTTCAGAGTCATTTTCATCCTTGAACCTTTTGATCATGGAAGCCAAGTACAGATGCTCTGGTCAAATGGAGGAAAGGGACTTGGGGGCCCTCACGGCTGCTCCTCTTCACAGGCTCCAGCTTATAGCTCAGTTGTTTCATTTTATACACGAGGAAGCTGCAGCCCAGAGAGGCTAAGTGACATGGTGCTAAGCGGGTCCCAGGCAGTGGAAGCCTGTTCTGTGTGCTCTTCATTAGAGCTTGCTGCTCAACAAGGCTGGCCCCAGGGTCCTGGAGCTGAGTTCTCCAGTGCTGGGCAGCCCTGCCCAGCTCTAGGATACAAGTGGCAACTCGCCCTCTGGGGGCTGACTCAGTGCAGAGAAGTGGATGGACTCCATCCTAAAAAAACAAAAGTATGGGCGGGCCCTTGGGGAGGGAGCATGGCAACACGGTGCCCTCGAGTGAAGAAAGCAACCAAAGGGTGGAGAAAAGCGTGGCCAGAGGGCCCATCCTATCTCTTGCATTTCCGGCACCGTATCCAGTTGGAGAGGACAGACTTGGAAGAGGCAGAGTCTCTCTTCTGGATTCTGCCAGGCTCCCTCTATTCTAATCGACCCAGATCTTGAGCTCTGATATGGAGAAATGATTTTTCCCTATTTCCTAGATGCTAAGTCTGTTTTTCAGTGAGTCTCACTCTTCCCAGTTTCATATTCCCCATAATGAAATGAAGAGGAGGCTGGGAACGGGCTCATGCCTGTAACCTCAGCACTTTTGGAGACTGAGGTGGGCAGATCGCTTGAGACCAGGAGTTCGAGACCAGCCTGGGCAACATGGCAAAACCCCATCTCTATAAAAAAAAATTTAAAAATATTAGCCAGGTGTGGTTGGCACAGGCCTGTAGTTCCAGCTACTCGGGTGGCTGAAGTGGGTGGACTGCTTGAGCCGGGGAGGTAGAGGTTGCAGTGAGCCAAGATGGTACCACAGTACTCTAGCCTGGGCGACAGTGAGACTGTCTCAAAAAAAGAACAATAATTAAAAAAAAAAAAAAAATGAAGGAGAAGTGCAGATACAAAGCGTGTGGCAGAAAAAGATGGTGGTCAAGAGCAGGGCTCTGAAGCTAGGCATCTCTGCTCTGCTCTGCTCTGCCAGTGATTCGCTGCTGACCTGAGGCAAGCCACTTAACGACTTGGATTCTCTCTCTGCAAACGGATTAGTATAAAGATGAAATGGGCCGGGCACGGTGGCTCATGCCTGTAATCCCAGCACTTTGGGTGGCCAAGGTGGGCAGATCACCTGAGGTCAGGAGTCTGAGACCAGCCTGACCAACGTGGTAAAAACCCTGTCTCTACTAAAAATACAAAAACTAGCTGGGCATCAAGAGCGAAACTCCAGCTCAAAAAAAAAAAAAAAAAAAAGATGAAATGAGATGAAGTATCTAAAATTCTGGCCCAGAGCCAAACACAAAGGAAGCTCTCAATAAATGTAAGCTCTTATTATCAAAAACCATCATAATGTTGAATTTAGGAAATCATGAAGTTCCCATAGATAACAGAACCTCCTTAAATGCAGCTAGGATAATTTAGGCACTGGAGATGCTTCAAGACCATGATGCTTTTTCCTATACTCCCCGAGGCTGACCAGGCCGCTCTGATGTCATGCACCTCTGTCAACGTGAGCACCTGCCACAGCCCCTTGTGGATTGCATTTCTGACCAATCTAAGCACCTGCAGTTCTCCACGTATGCCACGCCTTCTCATACCTGCTGGTACTGCTCTCTGGAAAGCTCTTTCTCCCTCTGTTTCCCCCCGATTTCGCATGTGCCCTTTTCACAAACTGTTCAAACATTTATACAGTTAAGCCTTGCAGGCTGTAGTTGTGGATTCCTCATGGAGAACCAGGCCCACTAAAACCTCCTCCAAACTACAGAGCGTGGCAAAGGCATCGTAAGCAGGGCACCGGCAAAGTCTCAACCCCACACAAGGGACACAGAGTGACATCAAAGGATGGCTGGCCCTTCAGATCAGCCTGGCGGAGGGAGGTCTCAGCAAACCGAGTGGAAAAACAGGTCTTGAAGAGGACAATGAAAACAGGCTCAGGGCTCAGCCTCTATGGGGACACGGGGACATGGAGACACCCTGTTCTTGCCCATGTTAAAGGTTTCTTTCTTTTGCTAAGCCAGAAACTGCAAAGAAAAGAAAATCCAAACAAAAAAGAAAGATGCTCTTGCCTGTTGGATTCCTCCTTTTTCCCAGTAATGGACATAATAACAAAAAAAGGCCGTGGAGGTATCAGCGATGTCAAAGGGAGAGGAGAACCTGATGATGAGGGAGCCTTCTCCTGGGGTCACCTCAATGTTTTCTGGAGGCCCGACAGTCACTGAAAAAGAATTACAAAGAGAAAACCACACACATACACATATGTATTATAGATATAATACAATGTATTATATAATGCTATATATATATGTATATATATATATATAGTGGGTGTAGATATATACACACACGTTTTTATCTATCTCTTTATTTATTATTATTTTTTCGAGACAGTTTTGCTCTGTCGCCCAGGCTAGAGTGCAGTTGTGCGATCTCGGCTCACTGCAACCTCCACCTCCCGGGCTCAAGCAATTCTCTTGCATCAGCCTCTCAAGTAGCTGGGATTACAACAGGCGTGTGCCACCATGCCTGGCTAATTTTTATATTTTTAGAAGAAACAGGGTATCATCATGTTGGCCAGGCTGTTCTCGAACTCCTGACCTCGTGATCCGCCCACCTCAGCCTCCCAAAGTGCTGAGATTACAGGTGTGAGCCACCGCGCCTGGCCTATTTATTTATTTATTCATTTTTGAGATGGAATCTCGCACATATCACCCAGGCTGGAGTGCAGTGGTGCAATCTCAACTCACTGCAACCTCCGCCTTCCAGGTTCAAGCGATTCTCCTGCCTCAGCCTCTCATGTAGCTGGGATTACAGGCACACGCCACCATACCCGGCTAATTTTTGTATTTTTAGTAGAGACAGGGTTTCACTATGTTGGCCAGGCTGGTTTCAAACTCCTGACCTCAGGTGATCCGCCTGCCTTGGCCTCCCAAAGTGCTGGGATTACAGGCGTGAGCACCATGCCCATACTATATTTAAACACAATAACTGAGAAGTGTTGCCATGTAAGTCTATTTGTTCAGGCTTTTCATATAATTCACAGGTCAGGCTAGGACTGTGACTCATGATGTGCTATCAATGAGGGGTTATCAAGCATTTATTAAGTAAGCATGCACATTGTATAATTCACCAGAGAAACTCAGATCAAAGTACAGTTTGGGTCCTCGAAGTTCTAAGAGACCAATGTCTGCACATTTTACACAAGGAGACAATCCTGTCACTGTGTGTTCACAACAGCAGGGCTGGATTCTCTCCCCTGGGCACTCCAGGTTGGTGAGGGTTAGGTGTATGATCTGGCCAAGCTTCTCTCTGTGCAAAAGAACTGCTGAGTTTGTAGTTGTGCCCCCTCATTTGTTCTGGTGGAGGTGCTAAGTCCAGACAACTCCCAGTGGCAGAAGTGAGGTCAGGCCTGGCCCACCACCAGCCATAGTGATGTTTGTGGATTGACTGCTAGTGACAAAATGCTCTTCCACTCAGCCTGCCCAGGGACACCAGCACACACGTTCTCCAGCTTCCCTTGTCCCAGCTAAGTGAGCAGAGTGTGCAGAAGTGCGTTGCAGAAGCACCTGCAGGGACTGGCTTTGGACACATTCTTTGGGCATCTCCATTAGCACATGGGAGTGTGGACACCAGCCACAGCTGGCCACTGCACGGCTGAAAACACAGGGCTCAGACCTGCCCTTCTGAAGAGAGTCCTGGCCCGGAATCTGACATGAACCCAGTAAACCTCATCTAGAGGCGAGAACAATCTGCCTCCTCTCACAGCACTGGAGGAAGGCTGGCTCTAGGGAACACTGGACGACAATGTGTGGAGTCTCCAGGTAAATGGCCTTTCCACGAAGCCTCTCACGATCAGTGTCACTGCCAAATAAGGGTATCACGGGATGGGCATGGTGGCTCATACCTGTAATCCCAGCACTTTGGGAGGCTGAGGTGGGCAGATCACTTGAGGTCAGGAGTTCAAGACCAGTCTGGCCAACATGGAGAAATGCCGTTTCTACTAAAAATACAAAAATTAGCTGGGCATGGTGGGGCATGGTGGTGCATGCCAGTAATCCCAGCTACTCAGGAGGCTGAGGCAGGAGAATCGCTTGAACCTGAGAGGCAGAGGTTGCAGTGAGCCGAGATCGGGCCACTGCACTCCAGCCCGGGTGACAAGAGTGAAACTCCATCTCACAAAAACAAAACCAAAATTAACTGGGGTGTGGTGGCCCATGCCAGTAATCCTAGCTACTGGGGAGGCTGAGGCACGAGAATCACTTAAACCTGGAGGCGGAGGCTGCAGTGAACTGAGATCGCTCCACTGCACTCCAGCCTGGGCGACAGAGCGAGACTGTCTCAAAAAACAAAACAAAACAAAAAAACAAATAAGGTTATCCCCATTTCTCAGACGAGGAAACGGAAGCCAGGAGGTGACACTACTTGCCCACAGTAACACAGCCAATAAATGGCAGAGTTGGGATATGAACCCAGGTGAGGGTGATGCTAAAGCCTGCCCCCTCCAACCACCATCTCACTCCTCTGCTTGGTAAACCACCTCCATATCCATTACTGATTCTAACGCCACCAGCAGAGGTGAAAGTGGCAGATGTGACATGAGACCACCACTGTGTCAAGCTTTTCAAGCACGAGGGCAGAGAACAGCAGCCCAGCCAGTAACTAACAGAAACATGGGTGCTTGACTCCGGCCGGAAGCGGCAGCTGGCTGGCACCGGACCCACTGTCACGATACATCCTGCTTCTGTTACCTTCTCTTGATCCCTGGGCAGTGGCGGTAAGTATCATTCCTTTTTTTTTTTAAATGACAGAGCCTCGCTCTGTCACCCAGGCTGATGTGCAATGGTGTCATCTTGGCCCACTGCAACCTCCACCTCCCAGGTTCAAGAGATTCTCCTGCCTCAGCCTTCCAAGTAGCTGGGATTACAGTCGTGTGCCATCATACCCGGCTAACTTTTGTATTTTTAGTAGAGATGGGGTTTCACCATGTTGGCCAGACTGGTCTTGAACTCCTGACCACAGATGATCTGCCTGCCTCAGCTTCCCAAAGTGCTGGGATTGCAGGGGTGAGCCACTGCGCCCAGCCATCATTACTTGTTTGCATACTCCTAATTCCCACTTATTTGACACTTTATAGCTCAAATGGAGGGTGGTTTGGCACCCAAGGACAAATGGCTTGTCCACAGCAGACGAGGAGCTGGCAGGATTGCCCTGTCTTCTCTGTTTCTGTCCCTCACAGTACCTAGCACAAACCACTGATTAAAAAAAAAAAAAAATAGAGATGGGGTCTTGCTATATTCCCCAGGCTCATCTTGAACTCCTGAGCTCAAGCGATCCTCCCACCTCAGCCTCCCAATGGGCTAAGATTACAGGCATGATCCTCTCTAAAAAACTTTTTATTGGCCGGGCACGGTGGCTCTCACGCCTGTAATCCTAGCACTTTGGGAGGCTGAGATGGGCGGATCACGAGGTCAGGAGTTAGAGGCCAGCCTGGACAACATGGTGAAATCCCGTCTCTACTAAAAATACAAAAAATTAGACGGGCATAGTGGCGTGCACCTGTAGTCCCAGCTACTTGGGAGGCTCACTTGAACCCGGGAGGGAGAATCACTTGAACCCAGGAGGCAGAGGTTGCAGTGAGCCGAGACTGCACCACTGCACGCCAGCCTGGGCGACAGTGCAAGACTCCACCTCAAAAACAACAACAACAAAAAAAAACTTTTTATTACAGAAAATTTCAAACACATAGAAAGTAGAGAGAAGATAGGCTGGGTGCGGTGGCTCACGCCTGTAATCCCAGCACTTTGGGAGGCCGAGGCGGGCGGATCACAAGGTCAGGAGTTCAAGACCATCCTGGCTAACATGGTGAAACCCCATCTCTACTAAAAATACAAAAAATTAGCCGGGTGTGGTGGCGGGCGCCTGTAGTCCCAGCTACTCGGGAGGCTGAGGCAGGAGAATGGCGTGAACCTGGGAGGTGGAGCTTGCAGTGAGCCAAGATTGCGCCACTGCACTCCAGCCTGGGCAAGAGAGAGAGACTCCGTCTCAAAAAAAAAAAAAAAAAAAAAGTAGAGGGAAGATCATTAACAAACACTCATGTACTAATTACCCAACTGAATCAACTGTCAACTTATGGCCAATTTTGTTTCTTCTATGCCTGGAAGCTTTGTCCTTGTCCCTCCTGTTCTTTGGATTATTTTGCTTTTTTTTTTTTTTTTTTTTTTTTTGAGATGGAGTTTCACTCTTGTTGCCCAGGCTGGAGTGCAATGGTGCAATCTCAGCTCACCACAACCTCTGCCTCCCCGGTTCAAGCGATTCTCCTACCTCAGCTTCCCAAGTAGCTGGGATTACAGGTATGCACCACCACATCCAGCTAATTTTTGTGTTTTTAGTAGAGATGGGGTTTCACCATGTTGGCCAGGCTGGTCTCGAACTCCTGACCTCAAGTGATCTGCCTGCCTCGGCCTCCCAAAGTGCTGGGATTATAGGCGTGAGCCACCGCGCCCAGCAGGAACTCTTTTTATTCCCCCAATTTTTTATTGTGGTAAAATACACATAACATAAACTTTAACATCTTAACCAGACCTCCTCCTCCTTTAAAAATCATAACCAAAACACCATTATAACACTGAAAATAAGTCAACAATAAAATTGTTCATTATATATCAAATATCTAGACGGTGATCACATTTCAATTGTCTTATACATTAGTTTGTCTAAATCAAGATCCATGTAAGTTTCATGCCCTGTGTGTGCATAAACCAGACACGGAAGAAACATCTGGCATGGCTGACTACGTGACAAATGAATTACTGGAGGAACAAATGTAGGAACTGGAATCTGAGGGTTCTTCTGTCTCCTTCCAATATCTGGGGACATATTTGTTCACTCAGTCATTCAACAAATATTTACTGAATACCTACTACATGCCAGGCACCATTCAAGGTGCCTATTCTGCAACACAAAAGAAGTTGCACCAGAATAAGTAAGGGTGATCAGAGAGATATGCTAGCATCCCTTCTAGCATGAGGTTGGCAAACTTTTTCAGTAAAGAGCCACAGTAAATTTAGACTTTGCAGGCTCAACAGCTGCTATTGCAACTACTCTACCATTGTAGTGTGAAAGCAGTCATAGACACAATAAAAGATGGATGTAACTGTGTGTTCCAATAAAACTTTATTTACAAAAACAAGTGGTGGGCCCGATTTGGCCTGCAGGCTGTAGTTGGCCAACCCCTGGTTTAGCAAATCACACTCCCTTAGCATCAGCCTCCAAGGTCAGAGTGTGGGTTTGACTGTCCTACCCATTTGTCTGCTGGTCATTTAGGGTGACAGGCAGGACAGAGGTGTGTGGAGTCGATACCGCAAGTGAAGAAAACCTGGAAAGTATAAAGGAAGTTCTATACTCAAGTTCTCTTACCATTCCGATAGTGTTGAAACCAAGGCATTGTCACCCAGGCAGAATGGAGTGCTCCCAGCTCAGCTCGAAGGCGTAGAGTGACATTGAAATCCATTGGGAAGCCTGCTGAGGGACTGGCGGCAGTGAAGTCACACTCTGTTGCTGTGATCTGTGTACAATTCACCCCTATGGACATGATGTCGGCCGTGAACCATTTACTGTCGGTGCTGGGAAGGAAAAAAGGATTTCAATTCACAGAATTCTCTGTTTCATGTGTAATAGTTTCCCCAGAGCTTTTGTTCAAAACGCAGGTTTATTGAGATACAATTTATATGTACCATACAGTTCCCCCCCGCTTTTTTTTTTTTTTTTTTTGAGATGGAGTTTTGCTCTGTCACCCAGGCTGGAGTGCAGTAGCGCAATCTTGGCTCACAGCAACCTCCACCTCCTGGGTTCAAGTGATTCTTGTGCCTCAGCCTCCCGAGTAGCTGGAACTACAGGTGTGAGCCACCACACCCAGGTAATTTTTGTATTTTTAGTAGAGATGGGGTGTCACCATGTTGGCCAGGCTGGTCTCAAACTCCTGACCTCAAGTGATCCACCTGCCTTGGCCTCCCAATGTGCTGGGATTACAGGCATGCACCATCATGCCTGGTTAATTTTTATATTTTTAGTAGAAACGGGGTTTTACTATGTTGGTCAGGCTGGTCTCAAACTCCTGGCCTCATGTGATCCGCCCACCTCGGCCTCCCAAAGTGCTGAAATTACAAGCGTGAGCCACTGTGCTTGGCTGCTACTGTTATTTTTATTTTTAATTTCTTTGTAGAGTTGGGGGTCTCTCCTTGTTGCCCAGGCTGGTCTTGAACTCCTAGACTCAAGTAATCCTCCTGCCTTGGCCTCCCAAAGTGCTGGGATTACAGGTGTGATCCCTTGTGCCCAGCTGTGGTTTTTAATTGGGTTATTTGTCTTCTAATTGTTGAATTGTAAGAGTTCGTTATCTATTCTGGATACAAGTCCCTTGTCAGATAGATGATTTGCAAATATTTTCTCCCATTCCATCCCATAACTGATTTTAATACTTCAAACTCAGTCTCTGTAGCCTATGTTTTGGGAATGGAACTGTGTTAATACAAACTCCAGTCCTGCTTCCTGCTGGTGCGGAGTTTCTTTCCACCCATAGCTGCCCATTCAAAGAGGATTTGTCTCACCCATATGAAAACCTTGCCAAATACATGGCCACACATCCTTGTGAATGACAGTGCCTTTCCCAGAGTCCCAATGCCACACTCCCACGTGGGACTCTAGTCCCCAGCTCTGACCTCTTTGCCTTAGGTGACAGACTTCAGAAAGGCCAAGGAGGTGGCTGCTGGGAGCCTGAGTAGGGGCAGCGGACAGTATCCCCCTACAACAGCAACTATGGCCCAGAAAGCAAGGCCATGGGAGACAGGAGACGAGACTGGAGACCGCTCTGTATCCCCACGACCACCGGCTTTCACGTACCACACATGCTTCTAACTGTACCTCCGACCCTCTCCAAGATGCATCTTCCGCTTAAGTTGCAAGGGACAAGATGAAAGCCACTTCAAGATGCGTGGCCAGGGCTTCCATGAAGACACCCGCCATAGATACCTACTACTCAGCCCCAGGGTGACAGACCCTAATGGGGAGAGGGATCGCAAACCACGAGCCTCTCCTCTCAGGTCGGGGGTGAGGGGCGTGCTCTGGAAGAGGTGAGTGATTTCTTTTTCAAGGTAGACAGATACCTAAAGACCCTCTAACCGCCCCGCTCCTCCTCCTCCAAGAGCAACATGCACGGCTCTTCCTCAAATGCAGTGCAGGGCCTGCTCCCCCAAACCCCTGCCACTGCCGGGGCTCAGCCTGTCCCTGGGACTCAAGAGCTATGTCCAGCCTTTGTGAGGTCACTCACAAAAACATTAAGTAAGTCCATCCCCTTTGACCCAGCAACCTCTCTTCTAGAAGTGTAAGAAAATAACCAGATATGATTCATGTACGAGGTCATGACTTAGGACAGGCACAAGCTGCCAACTGTCTACGCCCATGACTGGGGAAAAGTTAAATACAACACATGTGATATGTCACATAATGAAACATACAATGTCCACACAGAAATAATTACATGAAAAAATGCTCACATTTAACTACATCAAGTTAAAATAAAAAAGGAAATAGACCCCAGAAGTGTGACCCCAGTCTGGTTTGGTTTACACACACACACACACACACACAATTTTCAAACAAGAGAACGAATTTAGAAAAAAAAGTCTAAAATGAGAATAATGGCTGGGTGCAGTGGCTCACACCTGTAATCCCAGCACTTTGGGAGGCTGAGGCGGGCAGATCACTTCAGGTGAGGAGTTCGAAACCAGCCTAGCTAACATGGTGAAACTGCATCTCTACTAAAAATACAAAAAAATTAGCCAGGCATGGTGGCGGGCGCCTGTAATCCCAGCTACTTGGAAGGCTGAGGCAGGACAATCACTTGAACCCAGGCGGCGGAGGTTTCAGTGAGCTGAGATCACGCCACTGCAGTCCAGCCTGGGCAACAGAGTAAGACTCTGTCTCAAATAAATAAATAAATAAGATAAAATAAAAAGTAAAATAAAATGAGAATAGTGATTATTCTTAGAGTGTAGAACAACAGGTTATTTTATTTTCTTCTACTTTTCTAGATTGTCCAGATTTTCTATAAAGAACATGGATTGCTATTAAAATCAGAAGAAAATGAAAAACAAATGTTTGAGAAGACAGGGCTGGGCAGGTCTGAGAGAGGGGCTGGCAGTAGACCAGGAGGCGTGATCTGGAAGGGGCCTTGCTGCCCGACTGTCTGCATTTTCAAGGAAAACTGACATCAGGATTGGTTTTTTTTCCTGTTATTTATTATTATTTTTTTCTAAGTGAAAAGTCCAGATTTCTTAATGTTGGCAACAAATTGAAGAAAAAAAAAATTAAACACTGGGAGCCAAATAGCCTGCAGCCACTGTCTGCTACCCATGATTTAGACTTGAAATTCTCCCATCAAGTGCTCCATGTAATTTTGGTCTTGATACTCTGTCAAAAAACAAAGGCATCTTCATTTTTAATCATAGCAATGCTTTATTGTAGAGAAACACGGTGGAAATTTAAGTCTCACAAGCCTCAAAACTAATAAAAAGTCCCAAACACATGTTTGTATCTAAAACAAAGTATCTAAAAACAAATGCAAAGGCCCTCTTCCATTATCAAATCTACAAACTGAAAAAGAAAAAGAAATCATCCCCGATTTCACCTTTTTCTAACAGGAATATTCACATGTACCCTAACCTATGTTTCTTTTACTAAAACCAACCTCTAGGCTGGGCGTGATGGCTTACACCTATAATTCCAGCACTTTGGGAGGCTAGGTGGGCGGATCACCTGAGGTCAGGAGTTCGAGACCAGCCTGGCCAACATGGTGAAAAGCTGTCTCTACTAAAAATATAAAAATCAGCCGGGCGTAGTGGTGGGTGCCTGTAATCCCAGCTACTCAGGAGTCTGAGGCAGGAGAATCGCTTGAACCCACGAGGCGGAGGCTGCAGTGAGCCGCAGGTTGCAATGAGCCGAAAGTTGCAGTCAGCTGAGATCACGCCACTGCACTCCAGCCTGGATGACAGAGCGAGACTCTGTCTCAAAATAAATAAATAAATAAATAAAAAATAAAACCAACCTTTATCCCTGAGAAAATATCTATAAAATGCTTTTTGAAAAGAAGACAAAGTGAAACAGGTTAGTTTATCAAATGAAACTCTATCAAAGGTTTTTTTTTTTAATGCAATAACGTTTTATCCCATTTTTAGAAGCATCTCCTCTGAAAATCAGTAAACGTACTTCCTTGTTCAAGGCCAAGGAGCCCATAAATCAGCATCAAGCCTAAGTCAATACATCAGCCGTGACTCTCACAACAAGCTTCTTGTTTAGCTCTAGGGTGTAATGTTTGCTGAATGCTGAGGGTAGGGCCAACTTCCTGACATGTGACCTGTGCGCTCACATCAAGCCCGTTCTCAGAAAGGCACTTCATTTGATGCTCTGCGGTTGCCATCTTGAAATTCTTAATACTTTTTAAATAAAGGGTCTCACATTTTCATTTTGCACTGGGTCTTGCAAATTGTGTAGCCTGCTCTGGTGGATTGCTCCATTAATTACAGGTAACTTAATGTTCGTAATTTATAACTACTGGAGGAACAGATCAATGTGATTTAGAGATAACTCTCAAACCTCAGTTTAGCACCTGTTTCTATTAAGCAAATACTGTTACAACGGACATTTAAAAACAAATAAGAAACGCCAGTGTGATGGCTCATGTCTGTAATCCCAGCACTTTGGGAGGTTGAGGTGGGTGGATCACTTGAGCCCAGGAGTTCGAGGCCAGCCTGGGCAACATGGCAAAACCCCATCTCTTCAAAAAATTAAAAATTAGCTGGGTACAGCAGTGTGCGCCCATAGTCCCAGCTACTTGGGAGGCTGAAGTAGGAGGATCTCTTGAGCCAGGAAATTGTGGCTGCATTGAGCCATGATCATGCCACTGCACTCCAGCCTGGGGGGCAGAGTGAGACCTTGTCTCAGAAAAAAAAAAAAGAAGTTATCTGAACCGGGTGGGGTGGTGCACACTTGTAATCCCAGCTACACAGAAGGCTGAGGTATAAGAATTGCTTGAACCTGGGAGGCGGAGGTCCAGTGAGCCAAGATCGTGCCACTGCATTTCAGCCTGGGTGACGGAGACTTTGTCTCAAAAAAAAAAAAAAAAAGAAAAAGAAAAAGAAAAACAAGTTACCTGGAAACCTACTCCTCTAACAAATCAATTGCCTGTCATTTTTCCACATTACTTTTCTATTCTTTTTTTTTTTTTTTTGAGATGGAGTCTCGCTCTGTCGCCCAGCCTGGAGTGCAGTGGCACGATCTCGGTTCACTGCAAGCTCTGCCTCCCGGGTTCACGCCATTCTCCTGCCTCAGCCTCCCAAGTAGCTGGGACTACAGGCGCCCGCCACTACACCCAGCTAATTTTTTGTATTTTTAGTAGAGACAGGGTTTCAGCGTGTTAGCCAGGATGGTCTCGATCTCCTCACCGCGTGATCCGCCCGTCTTGGCCTCCCAAAGTGCTGGGATTACAGGCGTGAGCCACCATGCCTGGCCTACTTTTCTATTCTTTTACAGGTGTGAGCCACCATGATCGGCCCCTTTCTATTCTTGACAATAAATACATACCACTTGCAACTTTTCAGTATAAAAGTGAATAAAAAATTTTTTTAAGTAACAAAAATAAGAAATAAAAAATACAAATACATGCCAAAGTTTACAGAGTTGCAATTTCTACCAGATGACATCTAATTATCCTTTCTATTGGCTGTCTGTGGTTTAGTGTTCAAGCGTAAGTTAGCAGGCTAAAATTGGTCACTTTCCTACTGATGGATATGAATATACACTTCCATGTATCTCTTCATGATTATAGTTTTTGTCTCTCTTTTTTTTGATGGGGGGTTGAATTATCTGTGTAGGATAAAACTACTATGAAGGCTGGGCACGGTGGCTCATGCCTGCAATCCCAGCACTTTGGGAGGCCCAGGCGGGCAAATCACTTGAGGATGGGGCCAGGAATTTGAGACCAGCCTGGCCAACATGGCAAAACCCCATCTCTACTAAAAATATACCTATTAGCCAGCCATGGTAGCTCATGCCTGTAGTCCCAGCTACTCAGGAGGCATGAGAATCACTTGAACCCAGGAGGTGGAAGTTGCAGTGAGCTGAGATCATGCCATTGCCCTCCAGCCTGGGCGATAGAGGGAAACTCTGTTTCAAAACAACAACAACAAACAGACACACATGCACACGTGCACACACACACACACATTGGAAAACTACTATGGACATTTCCATGACTTCAAATGTCTGGTAGAATTCCTCTTTGAAAGGGCTATGCTAATTGATTCTGCAAACAGCATCAGGTGAACACATATGAACCAGTCCCATCTCACAAGCACTGGACATCATCATGTCTTTACATTTGGTTTACCAAATAGTACAAAATGACTTAGCCAATAACTTCACCTTACTCTTCAATTAACCTACTTAACAACGTAAACAAAAAATAACAAAGGATGTGGACTTTGCCCTCTTTCTATATGTATTTATATTGCAAATCAAGTGATGGCCAATTCTGCAAAAGCTTGAAGAGGCAAGAGACAGATGAAAGAGCCAGGATAATATGCAAAATGGAAAACCAGTTGAGAAACTCAGAATTCATTGTAATTAACCAAACAAATTTCTGATCAGGCCATATTTGGTCTATAAGGTTAAATCAATCCGATTTTTAAGCCCGAAGATGAAGACTAAAAGCTGCCTCCTGTTCTTCCATGGTGGAAGCCTATTTTTACAACCTTTCTCCTGAAACCAGCGAAAGAATGAACTTTCCACCAAAGCAAGAACCCGTGTGGTTAGACAGCGGAGTCCTGACTGCCAGTGTAGTTTAAGCCTTCAGATGAGTGGGAGGCTGTGAAACCTCTGTCCTCAGAGATTTTACAAGCTCCAAGAACGATGTGTTTCCCACGGGTTTGATAACAAACCCTGCACAGAGGCAGGGACTAGTATGTGGCCCCAGGGTTCCGCACGATGCCCCCACAGCTCCCAGCAAGGATCCAACAGAAATACCGGCTTACTATTTAAACTGCACTTGGTAGACAACAGGCCTCGTGCTATTGCTCAGGGCCACTGGCTCCCAACTCAGGACCTGCTCTGCGTTGTACAGGCGAATCTTCGGGTGCTGAGGAGCGGGCAGCTGGGAAAGAGGGTCTTGAGGGGGACAGAGAAAAAGAAGAGGGAGGAAGGGAGGAGAGAGAGGGAAATAATTACAAAAATGTTTCAATGTCCATTATCTAAGTCATTCATACAACTCAGTTTTTGTCAAAGTGCAGAAATGGCATTACCAGGTCCCCCTGGGCATGGCCCCACACCCCCGACTTTTGGCTACAAAGATGGCCCTACTGGTACAGGCAGCACAAAAAGAAAAGAGGCGCCTGGGGCAGCCTTTCCACCTGCAGGTCCCAGTTGTTACGAACAGGTCCTGGGCCCTGGAGTCTGGCCGGACTGGGGTCCCAGTTCTACCATTAGTAACTGCATTAGGCTCGGGGCAGGTCACTTCACCTGTCTGAGCTTGAGTTTTCTTTTTCAGGAATAAGGGGTCAATAATGATACACCCACAGGGCTGTGGCGAAGATTAACGTGGTGATCATGTGACACGCGTTAGCTTCAGATTTAGTACCAAGGAAGTGTCTGGTAAATGTCCGCAAATACGTGCACACGTGCACACACTACACACGCAAAAACACACAAACATCCTAAATCAGGTACGCAAAGCCCAAGCTGCAGGGGAGGGCAAGGAACGCCGACTTCTGGGCACCATCAGAGTTGTCGTCTCTCAAGGACCCCCAGCATCGCAATCACAGGGGTGCTGGTTAAAGTGCAGGTCCTGAGGCCCCCAGGAAATCTGCATTTTAAACAAGCTTTCCAGCTGCTTCTCACACACATTAAAGTTAGAGGACAACACGGCCCGAGCTCAGTGGCTCACACCTATAATCCCAGCACTGTGGGAGGCCAAGGAAGGCAGATCACTCGAGGTCAGGAGTTTGAGACCAGTGTGGCCAACATGGCAAAACTCTGTCTCTACTAAAAATATAAAAGTTAGCCAGGTGCGGTGGTGAGCGCCTGTAATCCCAGCTACTCAGGAGGCTGAGGCAGGAGAATCGCTTGAACCCAGGAGGCAGAGGTTGCAGGGAGCTGAGATCGCACCATTGCACTCCAGTCTGGGCGACAGAGAGAGACTCTGTCTCCAAAAAAAAAAAAAAAAAAAAAAAGGTTAGGGGGCAATAAACAGAGAAAGAATATACTCCCCCGGAAACACCACCAATATCAGAATCCCTCTCTTTGGGGTGACCTGGAAGAAACAACCACAACCTCTCCCTTCCCCAAGCAGGTACTTCACAGGGAGCCTTCGGGGACCTAGAAGAAACTGCCACAACTCCTCCCTTTCCCAAGCAGGTACTTCACAGGGAGCCCTTTGTCTTAGAAAGAAAACATAATCAAGATAAGGCTTTTGACCAAAAAGATTAATAAGAAATGCCCAGAAGGTGGAAGAAAGGTTTGAAAAACATGCTGTTCCAAAATTCAAAGCAGGAAATTCAAGCCACACATTTTCGGTAAATGCGCTCAACCTCAAAGAGATCAGCTGACAGCCTGACCACTGGCTCTTCTTCTGAAAGATGAATTGCCAAGTCTGCGGCCATTTGTTTAGTTATAGGATGCCCCTCCCCTCCACACCTATGAGCTCTGGGTGACCTTCACCCAACCAGCTAACAACACTTCTCCTGACACACAGCAGGCCTCATGACATCCTGGGCCGAAGGCAGACAGGTAAAGCTGCGTGGCAAGAGGCAGGCCCACCAGGTGTGCTGTGGCTGCTATGACCTAGCAATGCCCAAAGCCAGTTGGGGACTGGATGCTTCCAGAGGGGGGTGGTGGCAGGTCAATGCTCCCTCACAGTCACACAGAGAGGCCTGCATGACAGTCACACAGACAGATCTGAATAGCATCCGAACTATGCAGAGAAATTTCCACAATGCTGCCTTCACATTAAGCTAATAATTAACCCCAGGGAAACTGACGCCCAGACATCAAAGCCAGAAATGAAACACAGATCCTACACAGGCTTCTTCCAAACCTGGAGCAAGTCAAGATAACAGAGGCAGCTGTTTGAATAGATTTATTGGAGAGTCTAAGGCAGCTCTCCGGACCAAACTGTAAATGAGACAAGATAGAAATAAACTCCTGGCCGGGCACAGTGGCTCATGCCTGAAATCCCAGCACTTTGGGACGCTGAGGTGGTGGATCACCTGAGGTCAGGAGTTCGAGGCCAGCCTGGCCAACATGGTGAAACCCTGTCTCTACTAAAAATAGAAAAATTAGCCAGGCATGGTGGCACACACCTGTAGTCCCAGCGACCTGGGAGGCTGAGGCAGGAGAATCGCTTGAACCCGGGAGGCGGAGGTTGCAGCAAGCCAAGATTGCACCACTGCGCTCCAGCCTGGGCGACAGAGCGGCACTCCGTCTCAAAAATAAATAAATAAATAAATGCTCTGGTACCACAGTCCTCATTAAATAGAATTTAGGAGACAGGCCTTGACGGTATCGGGGACCTCACAGCTTGATTAGACTTAGAAAGCACATTTTTGGCCTCTGACTTTCTAGTTGAAACAAAATTAGTTACTCATAGACTTAGTGCAATACCACACATAGGCACATAACCCAAACCTATGTAAGCACAAAGAAAATCAAACACTTTGAGTTGGTCTGGTCGGATTATCTCCGACCTTCCTGTTACAGCAATAAATTCTCTTTCTTCCTAGTTTGTCTGCTTCTTGTTATTGGGCCATGAGAAAACGCAGCTGGACCCGGCTCTTTCCAGGAACAGGGTGAGTGTCTGCTTAGGGTTGGGCATTCAAAGAATCTGACAACTCCTTTTATTTCCTGTATTAGGTTCTTCTTATCACTGTAACACATTATCACTAACCTAGTGACTCCACACAACCCAGATTTAGCTGGGCGTGGTGGTGCGCACCTGTAGTCCCAGCTGCTCAAGGGGCTGAGGCGGGAGGATCACTGGAGCCCAGGAGTTCGAGGCTGTAGTGCATGTGCTATGATCATGCCTGTGAATAATCATTGCACTCTAGCCTGGCCAACATAGCGAGATCCCCCCATCTCTAAAAATAAATAAATTTTAAAAAATCACATCTAAATTTATTTTCTTATAGTTCTGCTGGTCAGAAGTTTAAAGTCAGTCTCACTGACTAAAGTCAAGTTATCAGCAGGGCTGGGGTCCTTCTCGAGCCTCCAGGGAGAATCCATTTCCTTGCCTTTCCCAGCTTCTAGAGGCCACTCCCATTCTTTGGCTCAGGGCACCTTCCTCCAGCAAGGTTGGCCGCATCCTTCTTGTCTCCCTGGTACTGAACCTTCTGCCTCTGCTCCATCTTTTGGGGACCCTGTGGTGGTATAAGGCCACTTGGCCCAACAATGCAAGACAATCTCCCCACATCAGGGCTCTTAACTTACTCACATCTGCGGAGTCCCTTTTGTACGTCAGGCAGCACATTCCCAGGTTCACGGACTCTGAGGATGAGGGCGTGGACATCTTTGGGGACCATTATTCCGCCCTCCACACGCCTGTTCACCATCTCCCATCTCTGGGGAGGAACCAACAGGAATAGTCTCTTCTTCCCGACTTCCCTTTCCGGGCACCTCTAGTTCCCCAGTCTAAGCATTCAGTTCAGAAAGGAAGCACCAAGGGGCTCCGGGGTGGGTGGCGAGGGGACAAGGAAGGGCTTCCACCCCAAGCGACGCGTGGAACAGCAAAAGGGCATCACTGTATAAGTCGGGGTTCCCATGCCAGCCTTCCATTTCCTTCATTTTCCGTTTCACTGAGGTGTAAGAGATGGCCCAAGCAACATTGTTCTGCCTTATATCCGGGTTTCCTATCATCCCCTATCTTTTCACATTTATAGAAGAAAATCAGTCTCAGAACTGCAGACGCCACAGGGAAGTGCCAAGGATTGCACATCTGTGATAAGACTGTCCTTTTTGTAGGCCAGGGGGCCTGTCCTTGGGCAGCCCAGCCTCTGTGTTCCAGGCCACATGGCCCCCGATGGGAAACACCAGGGCTGGAAGGCTGGGGAGAAGGAGCAGTGGTTGTGAGATGCAGGTTTCATACAGGTTACACCCAGATACTCTTGTCTTACCATGAGTAGCTGCTGAATCATTGCACCATTCTTGGTAGGTCTCCAAAGTTAGCTGTGCTGAGCATAAATTTTAGATTATGAGTTATGAATTTTAAAAATACAACATGTAAAAAGTTATTCTAATTGGATGGGCGTGGTGGCTCACGCCTGTAATCCCAGCACTTAGGGAGGCTGAGGTGGGCGGATCACCTGAGTTTGGGAGTTTGAAACCAGCCTGGCCAACATGGTGAAACCCCGTCTCTACTAAAAATACAACAATTAGCCAGGCATAGTGGTGCACACCTGCATTTCCAGCTACTTGGGAGGCTGAAGCACAAGAATCATTTGAACCCGGCAGTGGAGGTTGCAATGAGCTGAGATCACGCCACTGCACTCCAGCTTGGGCGACAAGAGCGAGACTCTGTCTCAAAAAAAAAAAAATTGTTGTAGGCTGGCCGCAGTGGCTCACGCCTGTAATCTCAGCACTTTGGGAGGCCAAGGTGGGTGGATCATGAGGTCAGGAGTTCAAGACCAGCCTGGCCAAGATGGTGAAACCCCATCTTTACTAAAAATATAAAAATTAGCCAGGCATGGTGGTGGGTGCCTGTAATTCAAGCTACTTGGGAGGCTGAGCCAGAGAATTTACTTGAACCTGGGAGGTGGAGGCTGCAGTGAGCCGAGATTGCACCACTGCACTCCAGCTTGGGTGACAGAGAGAGACTCTGTCTCAAAAAAAAAAAAAAAAAATTATTGTAATTAAGACAATGAACTTGCTGAACCTTCTTGCCTCTTGAGAACCTCCTGTATAATACATCTGTAATATATCTGTAACTGCTTTTAATAAACTTAAACTTCCCCGAAGGCAAGGAACTTACTGGTATGTTCGCCCATAAAATGGACCCTGCTACCAACAAAAAAAAATGAAGCTTATTGAACTGGACTAATGCGTTAATGGTCGAACCCCAAATCTTACAATACATTAGAGAGGGAATTCCTGAGAGGGAATTCTTTAAAGAAGGAAATACACGTGCTTATAGAGGGCATTTTGGCTCAACTGTCAAAATTTCATTTTCAAAACCTCACTTAGGAAACCAAGGGACATGTGTGAGAGCAAGAGGAAAAAATAACGACACATTTTCACATATAAGCATGACCTGAGCACTCTCCCTAGGCAGAGTCTCAAGCGCCATACCTAATTCAGAAATCAGCCATTTAATCAAACTTCTGTAACCATCTGAGTGCATACTGTCTAGTTCTTTACAGAAAAACTTTGCCGATTCCTGGCATGGAGGGTAGAGTTCAGACTTGAGTAAGCTGAAAATCCTTCAAGATCTTATCCCAGACCAATCACCACCACTCGCTAAAATACCATAAACTCTATCCTATTTTATTTTGGACCTACATAATTTTGCATATTGCTTTTTCTTTTTTTCTTTTGAGACAGAGTCTCACTCTGTCCCCCAGGCTGGAGTGCAGTGTCGCAGTGGCGTGATCTCGGCTTACTGCAACCTCCACCTCCCAGGTTCAAGCAATTCTCCTGCCTCAGCCTCCCGAGTAGCTGGGATTACAGGCACCTGCTACCACGCCTGGCTATTTTTTTGTGCTTTTAGGAGAGACGAGGTTTCACCATTATTAGCCAGGATGGTCTTGATCTCCTGACCTCCTGATCTGCCTGCCTTGGCCTCCCACAGTGCTGGGATTACAGGTGTGAGCCACTGAGCCCGGCCTCTTTTTTTTTTGAGACAGTCTTGTTCTGTCACCCAGGCTAGAGTGTAGTGGCACGATCTAGGCTCACTGTAACCTCCACTTCCTGGGTTCAAGCGATTCTCCTGCCTCAGCCTCCTGAGTAGCTGGGATTACAGGCACCCGCCACTGTGCCCAGCTAATTTTTGTATTTTTAGTAGAGACAGCGTTTCACCATCTTGGCCAGGCTGGTCTCGAACTCCTGACCTAGTGATCCACCTGCCTCGGCCTCCCAAAGTGCTGGGATTACAGGCGTGAGCCACCACACCTGGCCTTTTCTTCTTTTCTTTAATCTGAAACTCCATGCTTCAAAACCCAGCTCAGTTTGTTCTTCCTCTATTGGACTTTCTTCAACTCTTCCTGGCAAGTAGTGTCCTATAACATTTAAAAATATTTCTATTCTAGCACTTTTGAAAAATCATGGCACATAGTGTATGTGTATCTATTATAGTACACATGGTAATACAGACATTCTGACAAGGTCTCTAAGTAGACTATTCTCTACATTCATTGTCTTAATCATTTTTATACACTCAGGGCCAAACACTAGGACCATTTAACAACCAGTGAAGAGGTGAATGAACAACTCTGCCTTCCTGACCCATCCCAACACCTTTGATCTACCTATCCCAGATCCAGGCATTTCAGACTTTATGCATATTTAGGAATAGGAGGGGCTGGGTGCGGTGGCTCATGCCTGTAATCCCAGCACTTTGGGAGGTTGAGGCAGGCAGATCACTTAAGGTCAGGAGTTCGAGACCAGCCTGACCAACGTGGTGAAACCCTGTCTCTACTAAAAATACAAAAATTAGCCAGGTGCGGTGGTGCATACTGTAATCACAGTTACTTGGGAGGCTGAGGCAGGAGAATCACTTGAACCCGGGAGGTGGAGGTTGCAGTGAGTCAAGACCATGCCACTGCACTCCAGCTGGGCAACAAGAGCAAAACTCCATATCAAACAAACAAACAAAAAGAATAGGAGGATATCCTGGGTCTTAACAGCATAGTTTGATTAACACTTATCACACACAGATAATAAAATAAAATATAATTAACATTAATCATTTAATCTTGATAATTAAGGACTGACCCTTTAGGATCTTTCTATTGGGGGCGGGGACATTATGATGAAAGTCAATTAGGTGAACATCATTGATCCCACCTCCATCACCTTGCAGATGAGAAATAAAAAGGCATTTTCTGATTCCTCAGCCATAACCAGGAAATTGTTCTCTTCAAGAAATACTAGGCCAGGCATGGTAGCTCATGCCTGTAATCCCAACACTTTGGGAGGCTGAGGCTGGCGGGGGTTGGCGGGGGGGGGTGCGGTGGGGATCACTTGAGGTCAGGAGTTCGAGACCAGCCTAGCCAACGTGGTGAAACCCCGTCCCTACTAAAAATATAAAAATTAGCAAAGCATGGTGGCAGGTGCCTATAGTCCCAGCTACTTGGGAGGCTGAGACAGGAGAATCGCTTGAACCTGGGAGATAGAGGTTGCAGTGAGCCGAGATAGCGCCACTGCATTCCCACCTGGGCATCAGGGCGAGACTCCGTCTCAAAAACAACAACAACAACTGGACATCAAGTTATTGACCTAGATTATTTGGCTCTTCCTATCAAGAAAGGTTTGACTTTCCAGGAAGTAAACTAGAGATATAACCTAGTTCGAAAGAATGGCTGAGAAAATTAAGAGAGGTAATGTATATAAAGCACTTGGCATCTCGTCTGACCAATAAATGTTACTATCATGATCGTTTATAAAGGTGGCAAAAGCATTCCAGCTACATGATATTTTCACTTGCTGAGATTATGAACACTCAGGAGCTTACCCAGTGGACATTCACATGCAATGGTTTTTAAGTTGCTGGGGACTTACTGTCTTTCTCGGTGGTCTCTAAGCATATGAGAAGCTCTGGCTGTTCAAGTCAGCAAATAATGATAAAAAATTCTGTGGCACAGTACATATCCAATCCCCTGAAAAAGTCAGCAGCACCTGCTACAATTACAAATAGAAGCCTTAATTCCTCAACACTCAGGTAACTAACTGGTCAGTTGATTTACTGCACTTGTGCTGTTGGTTACATTTTTCTATCTAGCGCAAACGGCCACTACTTAACAGCTCATGGCTACAAATTGCCACAGGTCCCATATTTTACATATTCTACTCTTACAGAACTCTAAGGGATAGATACTATGTCTCCCTTTAAAAAATCTGTTTCCGGAGCCAGGCTGGGTGGTTCACATCTATAATCCTAGCACTTTGGGAGGCTGAGGCGGGTGGATCTCTTGACCCCAGGAGTTCAAAACCAGCCTGGGAAACACGGTGAAACCTCATCTCTACAAAAAAATACAAAAATTAGCCAGGTATGATGGCGTGCACGTGTAGTCCCAGCTACTCAGGAGGCTGAGGTGGGAGGATGGCTTGAGCCCAAGAGGTTGAGACTGCAGTGAGCTGTGATCATGCCACTGCACTGCAGCCTGGGCGATGGAGAGAGATACTATCTCAAAAAAAAAAAAAAAAAGTTTCCAACACTTTTTTTTTTCTCTGACCATAAAAGCAATTTCAAAATTACACCGGTAAGTTATGGGAAAGTGTGAAAACCTTTCTACCACCCATTTGCCATATAATCATTGTGAATATTTTCACTTTGTGTTTTGACTAAAAGAGTGTTTCTTTTGAAGATATCCATTAGGTTTGTTTTTAAGCTGTTTAATGTGAAAATGTTCAAATAGTTGCAAAATAGAGATTAGTTTAAAGCACTACACTACTTTTCTTTTCTTTTTTTTTCTTTTTTTGAGACAGAGTCTTGCTCTGTCACCCAGGCTGGAGTGCAGTTGCATGATTTCGGCTCACTGCAACCTCCCCTCCCAGGTTCAAGTGATTCTCCTGCCTCAGCCTCCCAGGTAGCTGGGATTACAGGCGCCAACCACCACGCCCGGGTAATTTTCGTAGTTTTAGTAAAGAAGGGGTTTTTAACATGTTGGCCACACTGGTCTCTGGAACTTCTGACCTCAGGTGATCTGCTCACCTCTGCCTCCCAAAGTAATGGGATTACAGGCATGAGCCACCGTGCCCAGCTGCTACTACTTTTCAAAGGATCAATGGAGCCAGTTTTTTTATTTGTTTGTTTTTGTTTTTTTGAGATAGAGTCTTGCTCTTGTCGCCCAGGCTGGAGTGCAGTGGTGTGATCTCAGCTTACTGCACCTCTGCCTCCTGAGTTTAAGTGATTCTTCGGCTTCAGCCTCCTGAGTAGCTGGGACACAGGTGTGTACCATCACGCCCCCTAATTTTTGTATTTTTGGTAGAGACGGGGTTTCATCATTGTTGACCAGCCTGGTCTTGAACTCCTGACCTCAGGTGATCCGCCCGCCTCAGCCTCCCAAAGTGCTGGGATTACAGGTGTGAGCCACCGAGCCTGGCCTCACTTTTTAAAATTTTTTTATTTTGCAACATATCACATAGACCAAAACTTTTGTAGAATACAATTAAAGTTAATCATTAACAAGATGGACAGGTAGCTGGATGTTGTGGCAATGTCAGACTATAGTTTCTAAATACATCTTTCAACCTCTGGACTCATCACAGGTAAGTCACAAACAGTCCACAGATCACCACTAGTCACTCCTCTCTGGCATGAAGTCACTCGCCTGCTGATCCCACACTAGGACAATCATCAACTCTCATTAGGAGGAGGCCTAGGGAGGAGGCATATGCAGATTGCTCAAGACGTGAAGCCAAGTG